>NC_000006.12:123858668-124161699 GCF_000001405.40 Homo sapiens | reverse complement strand
AATTTTAAAATCTAAAACACAAAGTCATGTTTTGAAAGTTTCTGCACCCTTATAATGTCTTATGCATGCTCATTTTTCAGCATTTCAATGAACATAAACTTTAGGTGTCAACTTATAAAGGAGGAATTGTGGTGTCATTGCTATTTCTGATGAGTATTGTTACTAAATAGTGTTAATGTAATTTTAAAAGATAAAATCAGCTTGCCTTCAGATTCATGTTTTATTGATATGATAATAACAATATATGCCTGATATGGTTTGGATCTGTGTCCTTGACCAAATCTCATGTCAAATTTTAATCCCCAGTGCTGGAGGTGGGGCCTAGTGTGAGGTGTTTGAATCATGGGGGCAGATTTATACCTTGGTGCTGTTCTTGTGACAGTGAGTTCTCATGAGCTCTGGTTGTTCAAAAGTGTGTAGCACCTCCCCTTATCACTCTCTTAGTCCTGCTCCTGCCATGTAAGACATGCCTGTTTCTCCTTTGCCTTCCACCATGATTGTAAGCTTCCTGAGGCCTCCTCAGAAGCAGAAGCCACATTGCTTCCTGTACAGCAGGCAGAACGTGAGTCATTAAACCTCTTTTCTTATAAATTACCCAGTCTCAAGTATTTATTTATAGCAATGCAAAAGTGGACTAATATAAGGTCTAACTTTCAACAGTCCTTTCAAAGACAGTCACATTTAGTGTAAGTTAAAACTTTGAATAAAAATGCTCCAGTTCACAATCTATATATATAGAAATTTTATATCTAAGAAGGCATCACTGAGCAACTTTTACCACAGAATATTTGGATCTTGAAATTTAAAACAAAGGAGTTTTCATGTGTTCATGGGAAACTCCTATGGAAAAGCAGACATCTCACACATATAACTAAAATTTCATTGTAGTTTGATTATAAATTTGGGATTTCAGATATTCTAAAAAAATTAAAACATTTTTAATACATGCATATTTACACCTTCATAAATCACCCCTCTCTTGAATATGAAATTTCTAGGTTTGGTAGTTTAGGATCATAATAATAAAATTTGCTATCCTTTTGACAGATTATTCATTTTATCATTTTCTGTTAAACCAACCTTTCATGAAAAATTAGTGTTTTACTTAATTAAATTTAGATCATTTTAGTAGCTGAATATATGCAAAACATATGTTAAATATTTAACTTGCACATGAATTTAGAAATATTTTTGCAAGTCCATTTTCATATACATCTATATATACATACAGTATGTAGCATATAATGGTGCATAAATTTAATGTAGAAAATACAGTTGTTCCCACATACAGCTCTTTCAAGGAAAACCTGAATACGTTTTTACTGATAGAATTACTCTTGGACCCTCTTGACAGCCTGCAATACAGAAAGTGCACTTGCAAGCTATTGGATCTTAGCTTGGGGATGAGAGTGGCATTGAGAATAGTTTGCTGCTGTTAGTGCTTAGTGAGAAAAAGAAAAGTCTGCTGTATAGATAAAGCGAGGGGAAAATTTTCCTACCCTCTAGCTCTGTCCCTTTTTCACTGTAGATCGCCTCACCCAATTGAACAGATTTCTCACTAGGTATATTATCTGGAAGGAAAGCTCTTTTCCCGATTGTACTCTGGGAGGATCTGTAAGCTAGGGTTTATCCCACATCTTCCATCTGCCAAACAACTGGCATTGCTTTACTCAGAATAAGCTTTTTTGCCAATTCCCAACACACATGATGCCTTCAAAAACAAGAAAGGAGTAGTAAGAAAAAAGGGAGGGCAAACACTGGCTGGCTGTAGAACATCGAATATTTTTCTCCCATCACCAAGGCCTTCATTTAGTTTGCAGCTCAGAATATGGCTGTCTGTATTTCATGGTCAGGTTTATTTATATTTTTCTTCCATATGCACACTTTGGTATTGGCTGTATCTACATAACTGGCATTTGGCATGCAAAAGTAGCCTCTTGCGCTTGGGTTTCTGAGGCCACTTCAAATCCTTTGTTTCCTAGTTCCTCCTTTTTGATGATTCCACTATTCTGACACCAACAGGTCAGTTCACTATTGCACTCGGATATAATTTAGTTTTCTTTGTCTTTATAGTAATGCAAGAATGGGCTAATATAAGGTTTAACTTTCAACAGTCCTTTCAAAGACATCACGTTTAGTGTAAGTTAAAACTTTGAGTAAAAATGCTCCAATTCCTAATCAATACATACAGAGAAATTTTACATCTAAGAAGGCAGAGGGTGAGGTTTTTAATTTCAAGTACATGTTACATTCTGAGGGCAGTCATTTCTGAGAATAACAGACAAAAAATGCACAATACAAGCCACCAGTACAAATACTAGTTGTTTCAGGTTTGAGAGTCCCTGAGTGGTTTTACCATACCCCATCGCAATCAAAATAATTTTCCTTTAGTAATAGCAATAAATGATTAAAACATAAAGATGTTAATCCATCAGTGTTTGCATATACTGGCATTAGGACAAAACTAAAAAATAAAATTCTGAAGACCTCTGGAACACTGAACCCATATCTCTAGAAAAATGTGAGGCTCTTTCATATTATTGTAAGGTTGATGGAGAAACAAATATGGAAATGTATAGAGAAACAAATATGGAAGTGAGTGACTAATTGAGTAAAAGACAGTCTACCATATCCTTGCATTCTAATTGCCCTAAAATCTATGAAGTATGAATATGTGTGTCAGCATTACATCTATGTCATAGTGATTAATCTCCACCAAAATCCTATGAGGGTGTCATCGATGAGCAAGCTGATGTCTAACATTACGTGGCACGGCTGGGAGATAATCAGGTCTCTGTGACTCCGAAAGCAAACGTTTTTCAAACACAGGCCATGTGTTGGATACTTACTATAAGAAAAGCTCCTACAATTGTATCTGATGGGCTAGATCTACATAATGTGACAACTTGGCAAATAGAAAAGGGTTCTGGACTATAAATGCAGAGTGAAATTAAGTTTTGTTTTGTCTAACTGGATGTCTCTTATCACTCCTCATTGCAGGGTCTTCATTAGTCAAGGGGATTTAAGTACCAAGCTGGGGATTGCAGTTAAATTCCAAGGTGCTCTGTGTGTTGGGATAGGCAGGGGATAAATAGTGAATGTCATCATTTGAAGATGAGTGCCAAACTTCTTCCACCTCATTGCAGAACTTTACAGATTTTAGTAACATACAATAAAATAGCATTCTGGCACTGATCAGTCTAGTCTGATTCCACACAATTTTCTGGCATACTGTCATACTTTTAATTTGCTTCGTTCCACTTTTCAGTGTTATTATGGTCTGAATTACATCCCCACAAAATCCACATGTGGAAACTCTAACCCCTGGTATGACAGAGTGACTATGTTCAGAGACAGGGCCTTCACAGAAGTAATTAAGTTAAAATGAGGACACTAAGGTGGGTCCTAATCCTATATAACTAGCATCCTTATAAGAAGAGGTGATTAGGACACACAGCGACACCAGGGATGCATAAGAAGAGAAAGAACAAAGGAAAAAGGCAGCAGTCTGCAAGCCAAGCAGAGAGGCCTCAGAAGAAAACTGCCCTGCTGGCACTTTGACATTTGAACTGTGAGAAAATAAATTGTTGTTGTTTAAGCCACTCAACCTATAGTATTTTATTATGGCAGTCCTAACAAACTAATATAAGCAGAAAAAATATACAATAAATTCTTCATATTGGTTTCAGTAATAGAAATTTTGATATTTAGACTTTTGCACAAAACTGCAAATGTAAGCAGGTTGAGTAAATGTGGACACAAATAGATCACTTTCATCTTTAATTAAATTTGTTGTCAGTGCTTAGTCTCACTTTAAAAAGATAAGCAGGTGTATGCATTAACATACAATAGTAACTACCAGAAGGAAATCATAGCTTTAAAAAAAGAAACAATCCTCCCCATTAGTTTAACTTTCATTTACATTAATGAGATTAACATAAACAATCTAAGAGAATGACAATCCTTTTAGCTTGTTGAAAATAAAACAAATTAAATCTCAAAAGGCTGAGTGTTAGAGCCACTTAATGGGAAAGTTTAAAAAGCATACGTACATGATCAAAAATAGAGTAAATAAGATACTCAAGGGAGAACAGTTGACAACATATGCAATCATGTGTCAGTGATCCTTGGCCCTTCACAGAGATGTCGGTTATGAGAGGTTGAGGTTTTTTAATTTCAACAATGGCTCCCAGGTCAATGTGAAAACAACTTCACCATGTTTCAAAATAAAGCAATAGCGCTACCTCTTATAGGATTACTTTTTAAATTTGTGAACAATGTCAGACAATAAATTTACTACACACAGAAAATAAAGAAGGAAAGTAAAATAATTGGTAAGCAGCATAAAAAACCTTAATATATAACCAAACTATCAGTATACAGTAAATAAGAACATAGGAAGAAGCATGCTGTGTGTGTGTGTGTGTGTGTATGTGTGTGTGTGTGTGTCCATTATGACACACCTCCCACCGTGTCCCATACATAATTAATTTCAGGGTATTTCTCCAGTATGTATCCCAAGAATATCTCTGTGTCTCCATGTTTTCTGTTACTGCTTTGGTTAGGTCACCTTTTTTTTTTTTTTTTTTTTTTTTTTGAGACAGAGTCTCACTCTGCCACCCAGGCCGGAGTGCAGTGGCTCGATCTCGGCTCACTGCAACCTCTGCCTCCCGGGTTCAAGCAATTCTCCTGGCTTAGCCTCCCAAGTAGCTGGAACTACAGATGTGCACCACCACACCACGTTAATTTTTGTATTTTTAGTAAAGACGGGGTTTTACCATGTTGGCCAGGCTGGTCTGGAACTCCTGACCTCAAGTGTTCCACCTGCCTGGCCTCCCAAAGTGCTGGGATTACAGGGGTGAGCCACTGTGCCCAGCCACAGGTCATCATTTTTTCTCATGTGTACTCCTGTAATTACCTAAATTCCTGCTTTGATTTCTGCTTTCTTATAGTCCATTCTCCACAAGGCAGTTGGGTGATGTTTAAAAATATAAAGCGAGATTTTTTCACTTTCTTGATTAGAGACTTCCAACAATTTTCTCCTTGGTTTTAAGTAGATTTTCAACTCTTTCCAGTCTGTCTGTGCCTTGCTCAGCTCTGCAAACTTGTGCCGTGTGATGATCCTCCCACTCTATGTTTCAGATACACTGAACTTCTTTTCATTTCTAAACAATACCTTAGTGCTCTTGAACTTGGTGTTTCCTTTCCTGACACACTCTTTCCCCAGATGGCTATATGACTGACTCCTCCTGCTTCAGATGTGACTCCCTTGAGCACCCTTCCTACAGTAGCCCTTAACTTGTCTGCCTTCCTCACTGCTGAAATCCTGGTATGTAGGATAGCTGTATCTAGGGAAGGTGCTCAATAAATATCTACACATGCGTGAATCATCGAAACCAATTTTAAAGCCCACCTCCTCTACTCTGGTAAAAACTGCATAAATTAAAAGAAACATATAGTCCATTCCACTTACTGCTCTCCCTTAAACCTTAGTCATCCATAAGTATCTAGTGACCTGCTTTCTGTTCCCTCATCTCCATCCTGGCCCCCTTAAGTGTCTAAAATCAAACATTTCTCCCAATTAGAAGTCACCCCTAGCTCAGAATGCACATCTTTTCAAAAATAACCTTTACTCCTATTCAAAAGCAACTCTACCTCCCTTCACTGCACTTACCCACCAAACTTGATGTAAGGTGGAGGTATAATGGGGCCTAGTATCCCTTTTTTTTTTTTTTTCCATTCTCTGTCTTCCCAGCATTTGCATCTCTGGGCTTCCCGTTGTTACTATAGCCCTATTCAAAGGACCTTAAGGTGCAATTTAAAACCAAGGAAACAATATGAAATGAGATCACACCATTTATCTTTTCATTTATGCCCATTTCCTTGTACCCTTGAAAACATCAGCTTTAATATTCTTCCATTCACTATACGTCAATTATCTATTACCATCATGTGTCAGTTCCCCAAATTCAGAATTCAGCAGCATAATCTGCTTCTTATTTTCCTTCAGATTTTTTTTCCATTTATCTCCATATCATGGAATTGTTAAATCATATCAAAATTGCCTCTCTGGAACACACAGAATAGCAAAAAAAAAAAAAGATAGCATATATTACACACATATGTTTTCATCATCTATCCTAAATAAGACTCTCATTTTTTCCATTTCCTGATTTCCCCTAAATTCCAAGCTCTTCCTTCATTGGCCTGTTCATTCTTTACCTCATTCAACATTTAAATTTTTTTCTTTTTAATTGACATATAATAATTATACATATTTATGGGGTACACAGTAATGTTTTGATACATATGATGTACAGCGATCAGATCAGGGCAATTAGCATATCCATCTTGAACACTTATCATTTCTTTGTGTTGGGAACATTCAGTATCCTCCTTCTAGCTGTTTGAAGCTATATATTAATGTTAACTAGAGTCATCTTACAGTGCTATGGAAGGCCAAAGTTTTATTCTTCCCATCTAGATATAATTTTGTATCTTTTAACAACATTTTTAAAGCAATCATCCAGATACCATGCTTGATGTTGGGATAACTAGAATTAATAAAAAAAGAAAACTCATTCCCAAAAATATCGCCCATCCTAGTGGCTTAAATTCAAATAGCTTCTAATCTAGGTCAATCAGCAATTTTGAAATGCCATAACTCATAGCCCATCATGCAGTTTCACCTATTCATATCTAAAACAATTCTTTTCCTGCCATGTGGCAAGGTATTGTACATTGATAATTTATAACTCTGATTAAAAATCACATTTTCATATATATCTCTCAATTAATACTTTTATGTCTACCACCTTGTCATAAATCATTTGGAATATTTATTTTTGTATTTACTTGGAATATTTTTGTTTTTGTATATTGTTATCTGACAAATATTATTACTGTCAGGTTTTCTTTTCAGTTAAGAATATGATTTCCAAGAAGGTCCTAGAATTTGGCATTAAATAAGAAGAACACAATTCAGTGGTGCTCCGTATACTCAAGAAACATTTGTCAGTGGTAATTAATACTCACTTTAAGCCTTAAAAAGGAGCAAAATAATCACCTAGCTTACACTTTAAATATATACGATTTTCATTTAAAGAAAGAGTTAGAGTTAAGGTGGGCTAGAATACGTACATAAAAAAGAGTCACAAAGTGGCAGTATAATTTTCTTAGGAAAGGGAAAATAGAAAAGTCTTCGTAGCATCAGTAAGAAGCTAAGTTATCTACTTAACTTAATATCAGGTGACTTCTCTTTCAAGTATGTGAATATCTGAAATGTCTCAAACAGACAAATAATGTCTGTCAAGGAAAAAACCTTACATTGCTTATGAAAGGAAGTAAGCATGGCTATGAACAGAACTGAGTGACAGAGAAGTTTTACAGTCTCATGACTTGAGAAACATTTCTTTGATACATATCCAGTGATATCATTCAAATTAAGTATTCATATTTATCATCAAAGTAAACATTTTATACTTCGTATAACTTACTTGGAAAAATGGTGCTAGATCATAATCAAGAGGTATTTAGTCCTCAACTGTAAAATTTGTTTAACATTTGAAAAATCAATCAATATAATTCACCGTGTCAATACAATTTACAAAATCACCAGAGTACAAGAAAAAAATCATAATTATTTCAGTTGTTGTAGAAAAATTATTTGATAAAATTCAACACCCAATCATGCTAAAGACTCTTAGAATATCAGAAATGGAAGGGAACTTCTTCAGTATGATAAGAAATAACTACAAAAAAAAAAGGAATAGATAACATATGAATGCTTTCCATCTGAAGTTGGAAAGAAAACAAGTACCCACTCTCATTATATTTATGTAACATTATGTTGCAGGTTTTAATCAGTGCAATAATTTAAGAAAAATAAATATAAAGCATAAAAATTTAATATAAAAGGGAAAACTAATTTTATTTGCAAAGGGACCTATAAACAATTATAATTAAATGAATTTAATGAAGTCACTGAAAACAAGGTCAATAAACAAAAATACACAGCATATTCATATTCTAGAAACAAATTATTGAGAAATTAAAGAAAAATATCGAGATGAAAGAGACCAAAATGTCACATATTTGGGGAAAAAGGGTAATGGAATATGTGCAAGACTACAACACTGAAAATTACAAAATGCTTCCTGGAAGGACTGAAAGAAGATTTAATAAGTAGAAGTATATGATATTTTCATGAATTGAATACTAGATAATGTTAAAAGTTAATTATCCCTCAAGTTATCTATAAATTCAATGCTATTCCAACCAAAATATCAGTTATATTGTTGCTATTGTAGTTGCAGTTTTTGTTATTATAGAAATCAAACATAGAATTCTAAAATTGATGTAGAAACTCAAAGAATCTACAATATCCATAGAGATCTGCTTTTTATATTTTTTAATTGATATATGATAGTTGATGCATTCTGGGGTTGCATGTGATATTTTGATACATAGATAGAATTTGTAATAATAAAATCAGGGTAATCGGAATATCCATCACCTCAACATTTATCTTTTTTGGTGTTGTGTGCATTTTCTTCTCCTCTAGCTATTTTGAAATATACAAAAATTATTGTTAACTGTCATTTTCCTACTATACTGTTGAATACTAGTACTTATTCCTTCTATCTAACTGTATTTTTGTATGCATTAACAAACTTCTCCCCATCTTCCCTCTCTTCTTCCCTTCCCAGCCTCAGTCAACCACCATTATGCTAACTGCAAGAGATGTACTTTTTTTTAGCTCCCATTTACATGTGAGAACATATAATATTCATCTTTCTCTGCTTAGTTTATTTCACTTAACAAAACATCCTCCAGTTCCATCCATGTTACAAGTGGCAAAATTTCATTTCTGAATGGCCAAACACTATTTTATTGTGCATATATGCCAAATTTTCTATTTCCATTCATCCACTGACAGATACTTAGGTTGAGCCCCTATCTTGCCCACTGTGAAGTACTCAAACACAAGAGTGCAGTGATCTCTTCAATATATTGATTTTCGTTCTTGTGGATATATACCTAGCAGTTGGATTGGTGGATCATACGGTAATTCTATTTCCAGTTTTTTGAAGAACCTCCATATTGTTTCCCATAGTGGCTGTACTACTCTATATTCCTACCAAACATGTACAAGTATTTCCCTTTATTTTGTATCCTCATCAACACTTGTTATTTTCTGTCCTTTTGATAGTAGTTATTCTAACTGGAGTGAAATGATATCTCATTATTATTTATTGTTTTGATTTGCATTTCCCCATGGCAATCTTTAAAGAGAAAAATATAGCTGCAAGACATACACTACCAGGTTTCAAGACTTATTGTGAAACTGTATTAATTAGATCATGCATACTGGTGCAAAAATTCACAATTAGACTAATGAAACAGAATAGAGAAACTAGAATTTGACTTTTACAATTATTATTAACTGTGATTACGACAAATGTGTCACAACAATTCAGTGGCAAAAGAGGGGTTTTTTCAATATAATATTTTGGATCAACTGGACATCTGTATGGGAATACAAAACCCTATCTCACACCACACATGCATACACAAATAATTTGAGATAGATCATAAATTTAAATGTGAAAAATAAGGTAATAAGTTTTCTAGGGTAAAATATAGGAAACTATCTCCATGGCATTGAGAAAGCAAGGATTTTATAAACAGAATAAGTAAAATATCATAAAAAGGAGGATCAGTTGGACTTCATTAAAAGTAAATATATCTATTATTCAAGAGATAGTGTACGAAAAAGGCAGTATAGAAAAAATATAAAGAGTTGTATCTAGCATATATAAATACATTTTTAAATTCCTATAAATTAATATGTAGTCAACCTTATTTAAAAAGTTAGTAAATTTTGTACAAGTACTTCATGAAAGATAATATCAAGATGCATAATAAGCATATTAAAAAGCACTTACATCGTAAGTCATTGGGAAAAGGCAAGTTAAAACTGTATTGTGATACTGTGATATACTAGTTAGATTGCTAAAATGAAAAGGGTAGACAATAACAAATGCTGACAACCAGAAATCTCACACATTGCTTGTGGGGTGTACTTTCAGAAATTTGTTGGCATTTTCTACTCACAAAAAAATATGCACTCTCTGTGACCTAGCAATTACACTTGTTATACATAGACAACCATAAGAAATTAGTTCATATGTCCACCAAAAGACAGACACGTAAGTGTTTGTAGCAGTGTTATTTATCATACACTCACACTGGAAAAAAACCACATATGCATCCAAGAGTCCATATACATGGAAGGGAGAAAGGAGGATCTAAAATAACTGTGAATCTTGATATGGGACGTTGTTATTTGGGCATTTACAATTATTTAAATTGATCTGTTGTATACTTCTGATTTGTGTTCATCATTATATGTAATTTATACCTTCAATAAAATAAAAGTCATGTAAAATGAATTAAATTCATATTGAAATAATATGTATGAATTGTATATCTTTTGTTTTGTTATACTAGATGATAAAAGTTTTCTTCCCTTTGCTCCCAGCCAACCCTAGTCAAATATACATGGGTAATCAATCTTCTATTAGGAATGATATGAAGATCCCATCAGAGGAGTTATGCTGATTAAGTAAAAGAAACATGACAAAGGGTTTATTTCAATATGAACAAATAGTTTCAATTCAATAATGCCATTATTCAAATAGAAATATGAACAAAGAAGAATAAGGATTTTACAGAAAAACAATTACAAATGTTACTTACAAACATTTTAAATGCTCAATTTTCATTCACTATTATACATATATTCAGACAAATATAATGTTTTTACATCTACCAATTCACAATTATCAACACAATTTGATAACACACAGGGTTAATAAAGATGTAGAAAAATTGTTCTAAGTTTGTAAGTTCTTGAAGGCCTCCCGGAGTGTAGTTTGTCTGTGTGCTTAAAAATGTAAAATCCCCTTATATTTGACATAGGAATTCAATTTCTAGGGACCGACATTACAGATATGCTTTCAAAAATATAAAAATAAATGCAGAAAAGATTTTCATACAGAATTGAGTATAATAGCAAAAAATCATAATTAACCTAAATATTAATCATTAGGGAACTGGTTAAATAAATTGTAATTCATCATTACAATGGAATTCTATTCAATCATTTAGACAGATTAATGAATAGGATGTGGCATGAGCACCAGGTAATATCATTAATGTATAAGGCAAACTATAGAAATGTTTGTAAAATAAAATATTTATAAAATAATACATGCATGTATAATTTATTGAATGACATATTGTTTTTCAGCAGTTCTTAGTGAACAGATATGTCTGAGGTTTTGGAGTGGGAAGGAGACTTTCTTTTCAATACATTAGTTTTGATAGCATTTTTTTAACCAAAAACTTTCACAAAAACAAATATAACTGGAAACTTGATTAAAAAATATTTCTGACAAGAAACCGATAATAGCCAAAACAATTTTGAAAAAGTGTGGGGGATCTGTCACAGTGGTTGGAAAAACTATAGGGAAAGGATGCAAACCTTCTGAAAGGTCGGAAGGTTCTGCAGAGCCCAGGGGGGAGAATAGCTGAAGACACCTATTCTATAACCCTGAGGCAGAGCGCAAGGAATAGGTACAAGGGAGGGTGGGGGAATTTATTTTAAACAGGCTTGTTTACTTATATTGACCAGGAACTGACCTTTGATCATCCATGCCCCTGACCTTCACCGAAAGGGGAACAATAAATTTTAATTACCTACAGGTTGTGTTGGCTCCAGGTTTTTGGCATTGTGCCTGCACTGAATAAAAGCAAGCAGGTCCAGCTTCTAGGGGCTGCTGTCTGGCCACTAGAGCCAGGCAGTCACCTAACTGCTCTTACACTGCATACCTGTGTCTGAGTACTCATTTCGTCCATCAGCCAGGGTCTGCAGGACAGACCCGGCAAAAAAGAACAAAATCGGGGTATGTACATTTCCTGATTTCCAAATTTCTGCAAAGCCATTACAATCATTACAGTCATTACAATCATGTGGTACTGGTACAAGGCTAGATATAGATATTAATGGAATTAAATCAAGAGTTCAGAAATAAACCCTTACATTTATGGTTAACTGATTTTCAACAAGCATACTATAATCCAATGGGGACAGAACAGTCTTTTTAACAAATGGTTCTCGAACAGCTGGGTATCTATATGCAAATAAATGCAGTTAGACCAGGACCTCTCACCATAAACAAAACATTAACTCAAAATGGATCATAGTCCTAAATGTAAGAGCTAAAACTATAATCTCTTAGAAAAATGCATGGGAGCAAATCTTTGTGATCTTGGTTTAGGCAATGGTTTCTTAATTACAGCACTAAAAGTACATGTGACAAAAGAAAAAAATGGATAAAATTTTGTGCTGCAATTGGTACCATCAAGAAAGTAAAAAGCCAACATACAGAATGAAACTATTTGCAAATCACCTATCTGCCAAAGGCTTTATATTCAGAATATATAAAACACCCTTACAATTCAATAATGAAAATAAAAGTAACCTTTTTTTTTTAAGTGGGAAAAGGATTTAAATAGACGTTTCTCCAAAGGAGATAACCAAATGGCTTACAAGAATGTTAAAGAATGATCAATATCTTGAATTGTCAGGGAAATGCAAAACAAAATGATGAGATACCATTTCACACCTACTAGTTTGGCTATAATAAAAATAAAAGACAATAACAAGTGTTGGTGAGGGTATAGAGAAACTGAACCCTTACTCTCAATGCTGTTGGTGGAAATGCAATATAATGCAGTCACTTCAGAAAACAGCTTAGCAGCTTCTCAAATTGTTAAACACAGTTGCCATAGCAATCTCATCCTAGTTATAAATCCAAAACTAAATAAAAACACATGCAAAAAGTTATACATAATATTCCTAGAAAAATTATTCATGATGGCCAAAAATTGGGAAAACTCAAATGTTCATCAACTGATGAATGCAAAAACAAACTATGGCACATTCATACAAGGAAATATTGTTCTATAATGAAAAGAAATAAAGTAATGAGGCATGCTATAACAGGAATTTTCAAAATGTCATGCTAAATGTAAGAAGCCAGTCCCAAACACCACATATTGATCTGCAGGACTAGAGGTCAGTTTTTTTAAGAAGAAAAAATAGTCAAAAAACAAAAACTAAAGACCACTTATTGTATGTTTACATTCATATGAAATGTCCAGATAGGCAAATGTAAAGAGACAGAACTGTAAATCAGTAGTTGCCAGGGGTTGGTCGGGGGGGAGATAAGGAAGGAATGTTAATGGAGATGGAGTTTCTTTTTGATGAAATGTTCTACATTTGGACTGTGATAATGGTTGCACAACTTTGTAAATATACTAAAAAAACCACCAAATTCTATAAGTTAAAAAGAATTGATTTTATTATTCGCATTTTTTCAAATAAAGCTATTATTTAAAATGTTAAAATAGTAATCACAAAAGTGCAAACTCTCTAATGCTACATCTCATAATTTCTTGAACAAGAAAAATATGTCTAATAGAGGTTTCCTGAATGTTTAAAAAAAATAAATGAAATAATGAAAATCTTTACTCAAATATATATGGGCAGAAGGAAACTCATTTGCAGAAAGGAATTAAAGAAATGAATGATTATAGAATACCTATATCAAATAATGTATTAACTAATATATAGAGGGACTGCAGTGGAAACTAAAGAGAGAAGAAAAGCCATGACCAGGGATGAGGACTACGCGTTTTTAAGATGGGAGGGGAAGTTTTTATACTCTAAATATCCATGGTCCTGGCCCTTTATATAAAAAAGAAACAAAGCTGAGATTTAAGCATTCCATTACTTCAAAATATCCTCCTACTGATAGCTTTACTAGTGCAAGCAATGGCCAATTAAACAGAAAGATTAAAAGAAGTAGCTTGTGGAGGCAAAACGAACAAGCTTCCACAGCAAACACGTATCAGCTGGAGATGTTTCAAAACTATCAGAGTTAATAAAAAAGTCACTTTGATAGCATTTTTCTTTGACAAATTCAGTTTTTTTGTTTTTGTTTTTTCGTGGGCTTTTTTTTTGTTGAAGACATTACCTAATTAAATTGCAAAACATATAAGGCTGTTTAATCAACTCTCAAGGTTCTCTGAGAATCGTATTGGAAAAATGAACCTTTCATCTGAGCATTTATTTTAGTCTTTTTATCTCTTTTGTTCTAGGCAGAAATTGGATCTTATTTCTATTCTGTGTGGATTTTTTTTTCTTCCAGTTCCATATTTGCAACTTGCTCATGTATGGTGGAGACTGTTCTCTAGAAATGATCCTTAACAACCACGGGTCAAGAGCAAAACTGCAGCACCCATGTGTGCAATCAGTGTTGTTTACTCTTCTAAGGTTAGTGAGGGATGACCTGAACACTCATAATGATGGATCAGAATGTCACGCTTTCCAGTGTATCCTGAATGAATACACAGTGTGCTGGGAAAAATCAGAATATTTTCTAAAAGTCCGCAGCATGCCCCATGCTGTGGTAATGTGTTATCATAATAAAGGAGGTAAAATAGTGCAGTGCACATGTACTAAAATCAGTGCAAGCACAAGTATTACCAGAGAAAACACATAATTGGATGACAATGTTACTTTTCATTGTAAAATACATCATTCAAAAAACAGATGTAATATATTAAGAGTTTAAAGTTTAATAACCCTGTTGTAACTATCACCCAGTTTAGGAGATGAAACACTAACATGCCTTTGAAGCCTCCACGCCTCCTCCCCAATAGCATTACTTTCTTTTCTCTGAAACATATTCCTGAATTTTATAATTTCCCTTGCTTTCCTCAATAGTTTTCTTTCACTTACATATGTATTCCTAAACAGTATGCATTTAGTTTTGCCAGATTTAATATTTTTACAAGGGGAATCATAATGTATTTTTTGTGATTTGTGTTTGTGGTCAATATTTAGCTTGTGGGATTCATCCATGTAGATATGAGTGTGTTTATTCATTTCTAATGAATAATAATATTCTACAGTGTGAATATAACACAGGTTATTCATGCTAATGTGAACTGATTTTATTTGCTATCATGAGCAATGTTCTACAAACATTTGTGTATATGTATCCTTCTATAACCAGGTGTTACTCTAGGGTATAAACCTGGGAGTACAATTGCTGTGTCTTCTGGTAGGCACCAAATTGTTTTCTAAAGTAATTGTTTCAACTCGCACTCCTCCCAATGGTACATGAATTCCAATTCAAATCCCTGTCAACTCTGCAAATTGATAATTTATTTTTAATGCTTGACAATCTGTAGAGTACAAAATGATAAAGTAATTTAATTAAAATTTACTTAATGACTAAGTTAGTAAATTATTTTTTCTAATTGTAGTTCTGAAAAGAAAACTGTACATTTTTTTTGCCCACGATTGTATTTTTTCTAATTGACCTTTGCTAATTATTTGTTTAATGTAAATCTTGCAAATGTGTTCTAACAATTTCTTTATAAATTGGCATTTTTATTGAGATAATGTTGATTAACAAGCAGTTGTAGTAAATAATACAGAGAGTCTCATGTAATCTTTATCTTAAAGGTAACATTTTATAAAACTGGAGTGTATCATAACTAGGATATCAATGTTAATGTGATTTCCTAATCTTATTCAAATTCCCAGTTTTACTTGAATTCATTTATGTGTATTTGCACACAATTATATGTATAGTTTCATGTACCTACTCCCACAGTCAAGATCATGAGCTATTCTATCACCACAAGGATCCCTCATGTTTCCTTTCATAACCATATCTGCCTTTTTCCTGAGACTCCCACCATATTCTTAACTACTAGTTCCAGTAATGTGTCCTCTATGACTAAAAGTTTGTCAGGCCAGGCTTGGTGGTCCACGCCGGTAATCCCAGCACTTTGGGAGGCTGAGGGGGGTGGATCACGAGGTCATGAGATCGAGACCACCCTGGCTAACACAGTAAAACCCCTTCTCTACTAAAAATACAAAAAATTAGCTGGGCATGGTGGCGGGCACCTGTAGTCCAAGCTACTCGGGAGGCTGAGGCAGGAGAATGGCGTGAACCCGGGAGGTGGAGCTTGCAGTGAGCAGAGATGGCGCCATTGCACTCCAGCCTGGGTGACAGAGTGAGACTCTGTCTCAAAACAAAAACAAAAACAAAAACAAAAACAAAAAAAGTTTGTCAGTTTAATTCCCTGGAGATGCATCCAGGTTGTTTCATATATCAGTAGCTTTCTCTTTTGCATTGCTAAATAGTATACCACAGTTTATTAAACCATTCACCTGTTAAAGAACATCTTGGCTGATTTCAGTTTTTGGCTATTACAAATAAAGCTGTTCTGAACATTTTTTGTGCATGGTTTTCTGGAAATAAATGTTGTGGAATAAATGTCTAAGAGGATAATTGTTGGGTTGTGTGGTAGTTGTATGTTTAGTTTTATAAGGAACTGCCAAAATGTTTTCCAGTTTGTCTAACATTTTTCATTTCCACCAGAAATGTATGTCAGGTCCAGTTCTGTGCATCCTCACCAGAATTTGGTATTGTTAGTATTTTTATTTTGGCCATTGTGATATATGTGTAGTGATATCTGATTATAGTATTAATTTGTATTTCCTTCATAGTTAATGATGTTAAACATCTTTTCATGTGCTTCTCTGACATCGGAATATTGTCTCTGGTGAAATGTCTGACCATGTCTTTTGCCTGTTTTCTAACTGGACTGTATGTTATTGTTGTTTGAAAATTTCTTACATATTCTAGATACTAGCTTTTTCTCTTTGTAGACCTCTTTGTGGTCTACAGATATTTCCTCCTAGTCCATAGCTTGTCTTTTTATCTTCTTCACATAACTTTTGCAGAGCAAACTTTTTTTAATTAGGCCCAATTTATCCATATTTATTTCATAGATTATGCTTTTAGTGCCAAGCCTAAATCTTTATGCCTGCCCCTAGATTGTGAGCATTTTCTTCTATACTTTATGTTAAATTATTTACAGTTTTACATTTCACTTTTAAGTCCATGATTCATTTTGAGTTAACTTTTAATGACCGTTATTAGACCTAGATCAAGATTCTTTATTTTTTTTAATTGTGGATGTTCCAGCACCATTTATTAAAAAGGCTGTTCTCCCTACATTTAATTGTTTTTGTGTCTTTCTTACCAAAAACTAGTAGAGAATATTTATCTGAGTCTATTTCTTGGATCTATTCTGTTCCATTATTTTTCTTCTGTAAGTATAACCAGTTGGCTGCAATACCATTACTTAATAGCCCACAATTTCTCACTGAAACGCAATGTCACCTCTTTCATGGATGACATTACCACTAATGACTGGGTCTGGATTTGGTCTCTGAAGTCCGACTTGTTAGTCTCTCTCTTGCAGCAACACTACACAGTAAGTACCCTCATATGATAGGACAAAATCTCCCTTCTTCTTTAGGAATTTCTAGAATATTTGGGCCATTTGTTTTCATATATAAATTCAAGAAGAGCTTACCAAACTTCATAAAAATTCTTTTCAGATTTCAATTAGAATTACAATAAATTTGTAGATCAATCTGTGGATAATTAACATCTTTATAATATTAAATGGCACATCTCTTCATTAAATTGTCTTCAATTTATTTTAATAATGATATGTAAATTTTCAACACAGCTACTTGCACATTACATCAGATCTAGGGCTAGACACTGTACGCTTTGTGAAGATGTAATTTTTCTTTTATATTGCATTTTCTAACTTTAGTTATAGTTATATACAAGCCTAAATCATAGCATGGGGTAGGATAATAAGAAAACCATTAACAGTTTTATACTTAACCTTTATCATAAAAACTTGCTTAGTTGTCTAACATATTCTAATGATAGGTATATACATTTTATGAATTTTTTATAAATAATTCTACTAGATTAAAAAAATCAGTTTTATTTCCTACTTTCCAATCTACATATAATTCATTACATTATGTTGTCTTGTTCTGGACAGAATTTGCAAAAATTCATGAATACATGGGTGTGGTGGCAATCTGCCTTGTTCCTGATTTAGTCATCTTGACATATTCCAATTAGGTCTGATTAGTAACTGTAGATTTTAGGTAGACACTATTTATCAGGATAAGAAATTTTTATTCTATTCCTTGTTTGCTTAGAAATCATTTTAATTAGGAGCAGTTGTTGTTGATACTTTTTTCTTCTTTTTTAGAGACAAGGTCTCTCTCACTCTGCCACCCAGGGTGGAGTACAGTAGCACAGTCATAACTCACTGCAGCCTCAAACTCTGGGCTCAAATGATCCTCCTGTCTCAGCCTCCCAAGTAGCTGGGACCACAGGTGTGTGCACACTATGCCTTGCCACTTGTTAAAATTTTTCTGTAGACGTGAATTCTCACTGTGTTGCCCAGGCTAGTCTCATTCTCATGGCTTCAAGCAGTCCTCCACCCCAGCCTCTCAAATTGCTGGGATATTAGGCATGAGCTGCTGCTCCCAGTGATACATTTTTTTAACTTTAAAAACACTGCATTCTGGAAGCAAACATATGTTTGTGTTTAAATATGTGCTTAGGGTTTTGATAAATGCTGTGAAGATTTTAAAGATAAAAGATGTTCTTGGCTCTTCAGAAGCATAAACAGTTCAAATGAGATAAAATTAAATAGGTTGAGTCATTTTCTTAAAACTCATATAATGGTTAAGTACGTGGATTTTAGAGTGAAGAGATCTGGATTTAGATCCTTATTTTCCCTTTTACCGGTTGCTGCATCTTAGCCAACTGCTTTACTTCTTTTTTACAAAATTTGTCATTGATAAAATAAATTTTATCACTTTATATGATTATAATGATAATGCATATCTAACACAAAAATAGTACTTGAGATAAAATGAATGCTTTAGAAATAAGATCTGCTATAACTAGAATATAGTAATCCCCTAATTTATGACCTATTAATTTTTTCTACTTCATTTAGACATAATTGGGCATTGTTCTTGAAAATATGGACCGTAAAATCTAAATTCTTTATCAAATAAAACACAAAGATACTCGCATTATTGAAATATGTAAATTTAACTGTGGCACCATAATATTTTGCTATCCAACTGCGTGTTTTTTCTGGTTAATTCTCCCATCCTCTGTCAATAAATACACTGCATTCAGGAAGAGATGTCAAAGTGAAAACAATAATCACACTGTGGGCTTTTTCACTCTAAATGACTTGGGAAAAGTATTTAGTAGAAGTAACAAATATTCTTGAATGCTTTGGTTTTCAATTATAATAAAAGAACTTGAGATAAAAAATGTTTTGTTTTTATTTCTGAATCCTTTAGGACTTAAAATATGGTAATCACATCAAAAACAAAAATGTGGAGTCGAAAGGAATTCATGAATATGTAGAGTTTTTCTCATCAAAAAGATATAAGAATTTCAGCAGTGGGTAGAAAAAAGAGACTAAGAGGTGATTGATGTTTAAGGAACAAAGATGATTTCTGCTAGTGGATTTCAGGGCCCCTCCCAAGTAGAATCCCAATGTGTCAGTGAGGTAGGACTACTGCAACCCTAGTATACATCCCAGTAAATTGTGGAATAATGTCAGAGGAGAAAAGTTGTCCAAGATACTGCCTGGGATGTTACAAGTCTCACAGATAACTTGCAACTAACATGGCATCTATGGGATGGGAAATTATTTTCTGAGCAAAGTGCCTAGACCAGTTCTGAACACAGCCTCATTATATCTTATACAAACCAATGAACAACAGGGAGAAAAGCTGAAAATTTTGAGATGTCATTAGAGTTGTGAACTGGTTGCAATTCAAGATCATCTACAGAAGCACTGAGGTTGGGTTCAAGAAGACATGGTAATTGTGAACCTGAAATTGGGGACTGGAGTGGGAATGTGCACCTCAGCAGTAAATGCATCAGGAACAAGGGAACCAATATTGATCTGATAGGATGAGTCACACCTCAGCAGAAGCCAGCAATGAGAGAAGATTACCAAGAATCAATTGCAAATCCAGTTCCCACACTTAAAATGCCCAGCAAAACTCCTGAACCCAGAAGTTTCATAGGAGAGGGAGAAAAAAAAATGAGCAAGAAAATAGAATATGAACTGACCGTGTTAATCCTAAATTGATTGAATTTTAAGCCAGAAGCAACTAGATTACCATCAATGGCAAGATTACACTTTCCTCCACAGAGGAAAAACGCAGACCTATAAGCTAAATTGAGCTTCCCCACACTTCATATTTTATGTTTGTTATACTTGAATTTTCTATAACTGTGTAAAATTCAAATCCACTACAGAAATAAAATAAACTTTTATAACTATTGTTTGTTTTGCTTGGGCTAGACTGGTGGAAACATTTTTAGCTAACGGTCCAAGAAGTCTAAAGTAAAAAGTATTTTTTTTCTTTGTGAATCCCCCTGAAATAAGCACAGGGAATTTTCATTGCTCCCAGGAAACTAAAGTCATAAATCTTGATTATTTTTTCCCATTTCTGACTCAATACGCACAATTGCTTCCACTATCTTTGAACGACAAATGGTTGGGGAGGGCCAGTTCTTCTAGTGGCCTAATTTCCTGTGATCCCTGGCTTAATTGACTCAATGCAACATTGACAGCAATCTCATATGGTAGTAATCATTACAAGTTTTGTCCTTATTGGAGAAGTATTATTCTCTGTAAGATTCTAATAGCTGAAGGTCTCAAGTTGAACTCCATAGTTTTATCTCTATATTAGTAAAAATATTATCAGCTATTTTTGAGTCTGGTTTGTAGAGATGAATTCATTCTGGGAATGCATGATGATTGGGGTCGAGTTAGAAGGATAATAATAGAATCAAAACATTGTATGTTGCAGAATGAAACAAAAGATCCTCTGCTCTTTCTACAGTTCTGTTTTTAGTAATTAAAATTTTTTTCTACAATGAATGTGTATTATTTGGATAATATGTAAAATACAGACACAAACACTTTTTTTAAAAAAATAGCTGGATAGGAATTGAACAGTCAACTGGTGCAGATACCTTATTTGAGAAGTCAGTGAATTAAGATTCTGATGTCCTAGCCCTACATGCCCTCTAGTCAGTGAACAAGTTACCAGTCATTCTCAAATGTTCTGTGCATTAACTCATTCTAGGGAGGAACTAGTACAGTAAAAAAAATGGCACGTATTTTCAATTATTCTTAGAAAGGAAGGTAACATATGTAACTGAGCTCATAAAATCCACTGCATAGATCATGTCTTTCTAATGTTTTTACCTCTATCTGAGAATGGATAGCAAATTGTCTCACACCAAGAGAAATGTCAACAACTTTTAAAATGAATAAACATGATGCGTATTATAAATTTATGCTTTTCAGTCATTCACAGAGCTGTCATTAACTTTGCAATCTACATATTACATATTTTGCATAATTCTTAATGCCATAATAAGGATACTATATGTGAAACCATAGCAACATTTTATATTATGCAAAAGGAAGGTCTCAGGGGCAAAGATTGATGCCTAATGGGAACATGTGATGCTATGCTGTGTTTCATCATTCTAATATTCTATTAGAACCAGTTTCAGTTTAAAGAGTTTCAGTACTGCCAGTTTCCTTATGAAGTTTGCACTTCTCATATGAATTTTACTTGTGTTCGCTGAAGCTCACAGCTGATATTTTCCCAGATTCAGGTTTCCAGTGAAGAAAATAAAAATAGAAATTAATAACATCTGTGCATAAGTGTCAGCTTATGCATCATAGATCCTAAAATTTAGCCACATTTTTTGGTTGTAAGATTTTTATTTTAATACTTGGGAAACCAACTTGTATTTTCCAAGAAAAGGAAAGAGAAATAAATATCCTTCTTCTCCCAAACACTAGTGTTCTCCACTGTTTGCTTGTATTCTTCAGCCTATTTAAGGAAGAATGACATGAAAATGATTTAAAGTAATTTTCAGGAAAAAAATATATTAAGACCTTTAAATCTTATAGGAGAATATTTTAATATAAATTTTATCATAATTCTTCTATGCATTAATTTGATTTTGAGCTTTTATCACTATAATGGGAATGTTTTATTTTCCAGATTAAATATGTGTACTAGTTTAAGTGAAACTCTTTTTCTACTGTTAATTTCTAAAAGTAATTTGTCACATGAATCTTTACAGAAAGAATACTGAATAATATAAACTAGCTTTTAGAAAGATGTTTTTCTCACATAGCTCCTACTTTTAACAGCTTACAGTTTGGCAGAGGATCCAATTTTATTTTATCTTACTTTACTTAAAATTTTTATTTAGGCCGGGCGCGGTGGCTCACGCCTGTAATCCCAGCACTTTGGGAGGCCGAGGCGGGTGGATCATGAGGTCAGGAGATCGAGACCATCCTGGCTAACAAGGTGAAACCCCGTCTCTACTAAAAATACAAAAAATTAGCCGGGCGCGGTGGCGGGCGCCTGTAGTCCCAGCTACTGGGGAGGCTGAGGCAGGAGAATGGCGTGAACCCGGGAAGCGGAGCTTGCAGTGAGCCGAGATTGCGCCACTGCAGTCCGCAGTCCGGCCTGGGCGACAGAGCGAGACTCCGTCTCAAAAAAAAAAAAAAAAAAAATTTTTATTTAAAAAAGTTTTTGGGGAACAGGTAGTTTTGGCTACATGAATAAGTTCTTTAGTGGTGATTTCTGAGATTTTGTTGCACCTGTCACTCAAGCAGTATACATTGTACCCAATATGTAGTCTTTTATCCCTCATCCCTCTTCACCATTCCCCCCAAGTCTTCAAAGTCCATTATATCATTCTTATGCCTTTGCATCCTCATAACTTAGCTCCCACTTAAAATGAGAACATAAAATATTTGGATTTCCATTCCTGAGTTACTTAGATTAATGGTCTCTAACTCCATCCAAGTTGCTGCAAATGCCATTATTTTCTGTTTGGCTGAACACTGTTCCATCATATACATATATAATATATAATGTGATATATATAATATATATTATATATCCACTTATATAACATAATTAATAATATAACATAATTATTAATAATAATTATCCTATTATTATTATATATTCTTTATCCACTCATTGGTTGATGGGCTTTTAGGTTAGTTTCATATTTTGCAATTACAAATTGTGCTGCTATAAACATAGACATGCAAATGTCTTTTTCATATAATGACTTCTTTTCCTCTGGATAGATACCCACTAGTGGGATTGCCGGATCGAATGGTAGTTCTACTTTTAGTTCTTTAAAAAATTTCCATACTGTTTTCCATAGTGTTTGTATGAGCTTACATTCCCACCAGCAGTGTAGAAGTGTTCCACACTTTTCACCACATCCATGCCAACATCTCTTATTTTTTGATTTTTAAAATTATGGCCTTTCTTGAAGGAGTAAGGTGGTTTCTCATTGTAGTTCTAATTTTCATTTCCCTGATAATTAGTGATTTTCAACATTTTTTCATGTTTGTTGGCCATTTGTATATCTTCTTTTGAGAACTGTCTATTCACATCCTTTGCCCCCCTTTTTTGATAAGGTTATTTGTTTGAGTTCCTTTTAGATTCTGGATGTTAGTCATTTGTTGGATGCATAGTTTGCAGATATTTTCTCCTACTCTGTGGGTTGTCTATTTATTCTGCAGATTATTTCTTTGCTTTTTAGTTTAAGTAGGTTCCATTTATTTATTTTTGTTTTTGTTGCATTTGCTTTTGGGCTCTGGGTCATTAATTCTCTGCCTAAGACAATGCTTACAAGAGTTTTACCAATGTTATCTTCTAGAATTTTTATGGTTTCAGTTCTAGATTTAGGCCACTGATCGATCTTGAGTTGATTTTTGTATAAGATGAGCAATGAAGATCAAGTTTCATTCTTCTACATATGGCTTGCCAGTTTTCCCAGCACCATTTGTTGAATTGGGTGTCCTTTTCCGACTTTATGTGTTTTTGTATGCTTTGTCAAAGATCAGTTGTCTTTAAATATTTGGATTTATTTCTGTGTTTTCTATTATATTCCGTTAGTCTATATACCTATCTTTTTATTGGTAACATGCTGTTTTGGTAGCTATAGTCTGGTAATATAGCAAGAAATCAGGTAAAGTGATGCCTCCAGATTTGTTCTTTTTGCTTAGTAATGCTTTGGCTATGTGGGCTCTGTTTTGGTGCCATATGAATTTTAGAATAGTTTTTTTTCCTAGTTCTGTGAAGAATAATGATGGTATTTTGATAGGAATTGTACTGAATTTGTAGAATGCTTTTGGCAGCATGGTCATTGTCACAATATTGATTCTACCTGTCCATGATCATGGGATGTGTTCCCATTTGTTGTGGACATCTATGATTTCTTTTAGTAGTGTTTTGTAGTTTTCCTAGTAGACAGATTTCACCTTCTTGGTTAAGTATATTTCTAAGTAATTTATACTTTTTTCCAGTCGTTGAAAAAAAGATTGAGTTCTTAATGTAATTCTCAGTTTGGTTGTTGTTGGTGTATAGCACTGCTACTAATTTGTCTACATTGACTTTGTACCATGAAATTTTATTGAATTCACTTATCAGATCTAGAAGCCTTTTGGATGAGTCTTTAGGATTTTTTAAGTATACAATAATATCAGCAAACAGTGACAGTTTGACTTCTGTTTTTCCAATTTAGATGCCCTTTGTTTCTTTCTCTTGTCTGATTGCTCTGGCTAGGACTTACAGTACTATGTTGAATAGAAGTGCTGAAAGTGGCCATTCTTGTCACATTCTAATTCTCAGGGGGGAATACTTTCAATTTTCCCATTCAGTATGATATTAGATGTGGGTCTGTCATATATGGCTTTTATTACTTTGAAGTATGTCCCTGTCCCTTCTATGCCAATTTTGCTGAGGGTTTTATCATAAAGAGATGCTGGATTTTGTCAAATACTTTCTCTACATCTATTGAGATGACCACATGATTTTTGTTTTTAATTCTGTTTATGTGATGTATCACATTTATTGACTTGCATATGTTAAACCGTCCCTGCATCCCTGGTATAAAACCCACTTAATCACGACATATTATCTTTGTGAGACGCTGTTGGGTTTCGTTAGCCAGTATTTTATTGAGGATTTTCACACCTAATTTCATCAGGGATATTGGTCTGTAGTTTTCTTTTTTGTTATTTCCTTTCCTGGTTTTGGTATTAACGATAATACTGGCTTCATAGAGTGATTTAGGGAGGATTTCTTCTATCCCCATCTTTTGGAATAGTTTCAGTAGAATTGGTACCAGTTCTTTAAATGTCTGATAGAATTCAGCTGTGAATCCATCTGATCCTGGACTTTTTTGTTGGCAACTTTTTAATCAGTTTCAATTCACTACTTGTTCTCGGTCTGTTCAGAGTTGCTATTTATTCCTGATTTAATCTGGGAGGGTTGTATATTTCCAGGAACTTATCCATCTCCTCAAGATTGTGCATGTAAAGGTATTCATAGTAGCCTTGAATGATATTTTGTATTTCTGTGGTATTGGTTGTAATATCTCCCATTTTGTTTACTATTGAGCTTATTTGTATCTTCTCTTTTCTTGGTAAATCTTGCTAATGGTTTATCAATCGTATTTATCTTTTCAAATAAACATCTTTTCGTTTCATTTATCTTTTGTGTTTTTTTGTTTCCATTTCATTTTTTTCTGCTCTGATCTTTGTTATTGCTTTTTTTCTGCTGGGTTTGGCTTTGGTTTGCTCTTGTTTCTCTATTTCCTTGAGGTGTGACATTAGGTTGTCTATTTGTGCTCTTTCAGACTTTTTGATGTAGGCATTTAATGCTATGGCCTTTCTTCTTAGCAACGTTTTTGCTGTATCCCAGAGGTTTTGGTAAGTTGTGTCACTATTACTGTTCTGTGCAAATAATTTTTAAATTTCCATCTTGATTTCACTGTTGACTCAAGGATCATTCAACAGCAGTTTATTTAATTTTCATATATTTATATAGGTTTGAGGGTTCCTTTTGGAGTTAATTTACGGTTTTATTCCACTTTGGTCTGAGATGACACTTGATATGATTTCAATTTTCTTAAATTTCTGATAATAATTGTTTTATGAATTTGGGAACTCCAGTATTAGGTGCATATATATTTAGAATTGTGGTATTTTCTTGTTGGAATAATACTTTTATCATTATATAATGTCTTCTTTTTTTTTTTTTTTTTTTTTACTATCGTTGCTTTAAAGTCTGTTTTGTGTGATATAAGAATAGCTACTCCTGCTTGATTTTGGTTTTCATTTGCGTGGAATATCTTTTTCCACCCCTTTACCTTAAGTTTATGTGAGTCCTTATGTGTTAGGTGAGTCTCTTGAAGATAGCAGATACTTGGTTGGTGGAATTTTTTCCATCTGCCGTTCTGTATCTTTTAAGTGGAGCATTTAGGCCATTTACATTAAATATTAGTATTGAGATTTGAGGTACTGTTCTATTCATCATGCTAGTTGTTGCCTAAACAGTTTTTTTTTTTCATTGTGTAATTGTTTTATAGACTCTGTGAGATTTACGGTTCAAGGAGGTTCATTTTGGTGTATTTTGAGGTTTTGTTTCAAGATTTAGAACTCCCTTTGGCATTTCTTGTTAGGCTGGCTTGGTAGTGGCGAATTCTCTCAGCATTTGTTTGTGACCTTCTCTCTCTTTTGCCGGATACAAAATTCTTGGCTGACTGGCTGCCAATTGTTTTGTTTGAGGAGTCTAAAGATAGGACCCCAATCCCTCTGGACTTTAGGACTTCTGCCTAGAAATCTGCGGTTAATCTGATAGGGTTTCCTTTATAGGTTACCTGATACTTTTGCCTCACAGCTCTTAAGATTTTTTTCCTTCATCTTGACTTTAGATAACCTGATGTCTATATGCCTAGGTGATAATCTTTTCACAACTAATTTCCCAGGAGTTCTCTGAGCTTCTTGTATTTGGATATCTAGATCACTAGCAAAGCCAGGGAAGTTTTCCTCAATTATTCCCTCAAATAAGTTTACCAAACTTTTTGTTTGTATTTGTTTTGAGATGGAGTCTCGCTCTGTTGCCCAGGCTGGAGTGCAGTGGTGTAATTCTGGCTCACTGCAGCCTCCGCCTACTGGGTTCAAGCAACTCTTCTGCCTCAGCCTACCAAGTAGCTGAGACTGCAGGCATGTACCACCATGCCCAGCTAATTTTTGTATTTTTAGTAGAGACAGGGTTTCACCATATTTGCCATGCTAGCCTTGAACTCCTGAGCATGTGATCCACCCGCCTTGGCCTCCCAAAGTGCTGGAATTATAAGTATGAGCCACCGTGCCCTTAAGAACACCAATTATTCTTAGGTTTGGCCATTTAACATAATCCCAAATTTCTTTGAGGCTTTGTTCTTTGTCTGATGGGGTTAGTTGAAAGCCTTGTCTTCAAGCTCTGAAGTTCTTTCTTCCACTTGTTCTAGTCTACTGTTGAATCTTTTCACTGCATTTTGTATTTCCCTAAGTGTGTCTTTTCTTTCCAGAAGTTGTGACTGTTTTGTCTTTAGGAAAAGCAATGATATCTGTTTCTCTGGAAAATTTTCACCAACATCCTTAATTTTTTTTTTTTTAATTTCTTTTAGTTGGTTTTCACCTTTTTCTTGGTATCTCAAGTAGCTTAATAGTCAGCCTTCTGAATTCTTTATCTGGTAATTCAGGGATTTCTTCTTCGTTTAGATCAGTTGCTGGGGAGATAGTGTGATCTTTCGGGGGTGTTATAGAACTCTGTTTTGTCATATTGCCAAAACTACTTTTTTGGTTCCTTCTCATTTGAGTAGGCTATTTCTTCAAACTGTTCTTGAATTTATTTTTAATTGGACTGTATTTTTTTTAATTTAAATTTCTTTTTTCCCCTCGTAAGGATCAGACTTTAATGTTTATTTTAGCCTAATTTGATTATTAGTGCTCTAGGGGTGAAGACTCTATGAGTTCCTTAGTTATAGAGTCTTCTGTGCTGATTTTGCCTGATGCTACTTGTAGCAGTTATATTCTTGAAGTGTGGGTAAGTTCACTGTCTCCTATGGAGTTGTAATGATGGGGATCTCTAGAAGCTTATCTTGTTCTCTTGTGGTGTATACTTTATTTATTTAATTTTTTTTCTGGTGTTTATTTATTGAGTTGATGATCTGGGCTTCAAGCCAATAGGGAATATATCCCTGGGTAGGCACTAGTTGTGGCTAAGGCAGGTGGGTAGATGTAATATCTAACAGTGGGCCGAGGTCCCAGTCTTGAGCAGGGTGGCTGGGGGAGCTCTCAATTAGATGTGCTGAGGTTCTATCAGAGTGAAGAGTGGGAGCTACTTCAGCTCCCCTTGCCAGGTCAGCAGGAAAGCCATTTACCTCACAGCCTCACTTCTGTCCTAGTGTTTCAGGTATTCAGATCAGACAGGCACCTCTTTTCATCTATAGGACTGTTCATGTCCCAAGTAGGGAGGAACGGTGACTCTGCCTCTCATGCAGGCCTGAATCTGGAAGGTGTACCTCCAGTCACCCTGAATTGTTCTAGGAAGGTTGACTATAGGTACCTCCATGCTGCTTTCCTGTGGGGCAAGCCCCAACTGTGTCTTTAGTGGAGTACCTGGAGGGAATAAGTACCCCTTCTCCAAGGCCCTTCATGATCACAGAAGCTGGTCTATTGGGGTAGAGGTGCAGACTTTCCCTCCTGCGCCCAGTACTGCAATTGTGTCCCTGTTGCGAGAAATGACTCACCAGCCAAAAGACATGGAACTTGAGGCCCACTGTTCAGATTCTTTTGTCCCATGGTGTGATACCTTGATGTGGTGTGCTCTCCCCCTTCCCCTAGAGATGGGGCTCCCTGAGAGCCAGACTGTAGTGATTATTATTGCTCTTCCAGGCCTAGTCACCCAGTGGGGCTACCAGGCTCTGTGTTGGTGCCAGGAAACATCTGCAAAGAGTCCTGTGATGTGACCAGTCCTCAGGTCTCCTAGCTGTGGATATTAACACCTGCCCTGGTGGAGGTGGCTGGGGGTGATGTAGATTCTGTGAGAATCTTTGGTTGTAGCTAGGTTTATTGTGTTGGCCTTCCCAAATGTTGGTTATGCCAGCAGTGAAGTTTTCACATGGACAGACTCAGGACCTCCGGTTAGCCAGGATGTTGTAGGCAGTGGTATTAACTGTTGTTTTCTCTTTCCCGGGACCAGTGTTATTCTGTCATGAGTTGCTGTAATGGCCTGAGTTGGTTGGCTTCCAGCCATGAGGTGGTTCTTTCAAGAGAGCACCAGCTGTGGTATTAGCAGTGGGATTTGAGGTTGCCCTAAGTTACCCAGGGGAAGTATTCTGGTTTATCAGGTGATGGGCAGGGCCATAAAGCTCTCAAGAATTTATGTCTTTTGTGTTCAGCTACTGGGGCAGGTAGAGAAATACCATTAATTTGGGCAGGGTCAGGTGGGTCTGAGCTCAGACTCTCCTTGGAGAGAGCTTGTTGTAGCCACTGTGGGGGACAGGGGTATGGTTCTCAGGCCAATGGGTTTATGTTCCAAAGGGGATTATGGCTGCCTCTGCTGTGCAGTATAGTTCACCAAAGAAGTGGGGGATAGCTGGTAGTGAAAGGCCTCACCCAGCTCTCATTCAGTTGGCAAGGTCAATCTTGCTCCTGCAGTGCCCCATTAACAGTGCTGAGTTTTGATTCAGGCAGCCTGCAGGCAGAACTCAAACCTGCCCCAGGCCATAAGCTTCCCTTCTGAGAAAGCAAGCATGGCTTTCAGGCCACACCTCTCCTCCCTCCCCATCTGCTCACAATGGCAGTGGCTCCTTTGCTCAGGTTTGCAGCAGTTCCCATTCATCCCCCAGTTTCTGCTCAAGGAAGTGTGTGCCTAGTAGAAGTGATCATAAAATTCACCTGGAAGCTTCTTTTACCCTGCAAGCCCTCCCTAATTCCTCTGGTTGCCTACCCCAAGGAACCCTGTGAGACATAGTCAGGGATGCCTTCCCTGGGCTCAAGCTGGAGACTAGGAGTGCCTACAAGGCTCTTTCCACTGCTGCTACTACTTTTATATTTCACACAGCTCCCTAAATCCATTCCAGCTCTAGGTAAGGTTAAATCCTTCTGTGATCTGGATTTTCAGATTCCCCAGTGGAGATGTGTGTTTGGAGGCAGGTTTTTCCCTTCTCACACTTTGGGAACTCACAGTTTTTTGCCTGTCTCGCTGATTTTGCAGTAGCATGGCATTTCTTTCAAAGGATCTGAATTCTTTTGGTTTTCCTGGTACATTCCTGTGGTGGTTCTCGGAACAAAGTTCACAGTGTGAATTTCTATACACTGTTCTGTCTGGCCAAGTGGGAGATGCATGTTAATCCTGCCTCCTATTCACCATCTTCTCCTGGTAAAGCCAGATACTATTTTAAAACCCAACTCAATACAAAAAATAGCCAGACGTGGCGGCATGCACCTATAGTCTTAGCTACTGAGGAGGCTGAGGCAGGAGGATCACTTGAACCCCAGAGGCAGAGGTTGCAGTGAGCCAAGATCATGTCATTGCACTCCAGCCTGGGTGACAGAGGAAGACTGTATCAAAAAAACAAACAAACAACAACAACAACAAAACTCAACTCAGAAGTTTCTCGTGGAGGGTAAAGTAATTCTGATTTATAACTTTAGGATATTCTAAACATCATGGAAAGTAATAGCTAGCAGTTCTTTGTGTGTCTTTGTTAGTATTGACTGTCTTCAGCAAAATTTAATAGGACCTCAACAGACACCAGGCCAAGACAGGACTGCGCAGTGTTGGAGTGCACACGTCCCTTGTTGCTACCTGAATGAGCAGTTTGGTTTTGTGTTTTGCTACCATGGGAATTTTCCTGACTTTACATCCCAGATGGGATCCCCTATATCCACTTTCTATCCATCATGACCTGGAACAGATAAATTGTTTTCTACTCTCCAGGTAATTACTTTATTCATTTTTACATAAACACAATTATTTTCTTTAAAAAAATCATCCTAAAAGATAGGTGATTACTTCCGTCAAAAACTAATTCAAACAAAGTGAAAACGAGCATGAAGATCGATCTTAAGTATTGGATTTACACACTAAAGATTAACATTCTACCAAAAAAAAAAAAAATAAGGGCAAACATTAAATTCACTTACCATACCTATATGATATAGTAATGCATTAAAATAATTCCTATCTACAAATGCATGCAAATACAAGAGAAAAAGAGCAAATATACATATTTACAATTATTTTATTATCTAGTACAGATGAGAAATATTTTAATAAAATGTCACAGTAGTTAAAATGAAAAACATTAATTAGGGGCAGATGTTGTTACAGTTTTCATGGATGAGGTTTTTGAGACGCAACAGGAATTATTGATAGCCCTTTCTGATGAGGTAATCATAAGGCCACTGTGTTTCAGATGAAAAGAACATTATCAAAGTTGCAGTTCAAAACATGATTTTGGTTCATACCCTGTGGAGCAGATCTCTGGTGCTTTTGTTGTCCAAAATACCACCCCCTTTGCCTGGGTAATGGGATCCAAATTCTACCTTGGGTAGCCACCTTTCTCACAGTTTCCCTCTAGGAAATACTCCCTTATCCTAACCGCAGCTACTTTAGAGGGGTAAGCATGAGACTAAAGCTGAGCCCACTAGAATTAATCATGAAATTTTACTATATTGGAAAACAGCAATGCTCTTTTCACTTAGATTGCAGAAACTAAATCATGTAAGTCTGAAGCTGAGAAAACTATCATCACTACCATATTGTACATGAGATAAGTACATTATAAAAAAGTTTAAAAAATTGCTCTTCAGTGCCAGGTGGGGTGGCTCACGCCTATAATCCCAGCACTTTGGGAGGCGAGGCAGGCAGATTACCTGAGGTCAGGAGTTCAAGACCAGCCTGGCTAACATGGTGAAATCCCTTTTCTACTAAAAATACAAAAACTTAGCTGGGCATGGTGGCGTGCACCTGTAATCCCAGCTACTTGGCAGGCTGAGGCAGGAGAATCTCTTGAACCCAGGAGGCAGAGGGTGCAGTGAACTGAGATTGCGCCATTGCACTTCAGCTTGGGCAACAAAAGGGAAACTTCGTCTCAAAAAAAAAAGATTGCTGTTCAGAAGGAGAAAAGAAACGAGTGACAAAACCTTAATGCCATTTGCTGTTGTCCTAATTCTGGAGTAGCAAACTCTAAATCTTCAACTGAGGGGGGTGATATAAATGTGTAAAACAATACATGTGAAACATTGATGTCCTTTGTGAAAAAATGAAGACATTCCAATAATAGCCATTTGCATTTAATGTTTTCAAATATTATTGTGGTCTCCATAGCTTTGTAGGCACATCTGTCCTGATGGGCACCTGATGGCATTCTCAGCATAAATCTTAGAGGGTGATCTACATCTGGGCTTTCAGTTACATAAACCAATTTTCCTTTTTTTCTTGCTTCTTTCCCTTCCTTCTTCCCTTTCTCCTCCTTCTTTCCTGTATTATTTTTAGTTGGATTTTCAACTCTTGACAAAAAGATAATTTAATATTTCTACAACATACAAAAACACAAATAATGATGAAAAGTTATGTCTTTCAGTGAAAGAATCCAAAACGTACTGACAATTCTATCTTAAAGTCAATTAGCCTGGCAGTAGACTTGCAAGGCAGAGTACAGGGTCGCAAAGGGTGGCTCCAGACAGGCAAGCAGTATTACTGTCACCTGGAGACTTATTAGATATTCAAATTCTCAGGCCTCACCCTGAGCCTCGTGTATCAGAAACAACCACGCTGTATTCCATGTGATTCTGTGCACACCAAAGTTTCACTGGCACTTGTTTAGAGGGGTGGTAGGATGATGATCAGAAACGTATTCAGACATTCACACGTTAAGTGAATCTGCACTCTTTTAGTGGCAGTGGTAAGGGAGAAAAATATAACACCTCAAGAAGAAAGATTGACATATTTTATAGATAAATGAACATAGTAATAACATACAGGAATAAATGTATGAATGTCAGCAAGAAAGAAGAGCAAGATTAACTTAGAACTTAAAGATGGGGAGACACAGTTGTGTAAGCTCTGTAAATATACTAACTAGGTTTAAATCCCAACCTTGCTATTTCCTTCCTATGCTAAACCTCTCTCTACTCCAGTTCACTCATTACTATAATGGGGAAAATTTGAATGCTTAATCCTTGTGATTATTATGGAAATTCAAATAGTTAATATTAAGGGTACATATAAAGTTCTTAGATTAGGCCAGGCACATGACACACCCAATAAATATTAAATAGAGGTTAGCTCTATAGTTGCCCTATCAAATTTAGTAGCCCATAACTACATGTGACTATTTAGATTTAAATTCAAATAAATTAAAATAAAATGAAATGCTTCGCTTCTCAGTTGGACTAGCGAAATTGTAAGTGCTCAATAGCTATCTATATTATAGAACATTTCCATCATCAGAAAATTTCAACTGCACCATAATGCAGGTATGAGATTTCTATGCTAACAACAGCATCAGATGTCCTTAGGTGAGGTGAAGACCTGGTTTGTTAGGAGAAAAATGACTGTCAGGTCTCCCAACTGCCAACACATAAAATAGCAACCATGGGCCAGGCACGGTGGCTCACGCCTGTAATCCCAGCACTTTGGGAGGCCAAGGTGGGCGGATCACCTGAGGTCAGGAGTTTGAGACCAGCCTGGCCAACATGGTGAAGCCCCATCTCTACAAAAAATACAAAAAAATTAGTTGGGCATGGTGGCACTTGCCTATAATCCCAGCTACTTGGGAGTGTGAGGTAGGAGAATCACTTGAACTAAGAAGACGGAGGGTGCAGTGAGCCAAGATCGCGCACTGCACTCCAGCCTGGGCAACAAGAGCAATACTCCATCTAAAAAAAAAACGGGAATAGCAACCATCGACCTCCTCACTCTCCTGATGGGGCCTTCTGTCTCCTCCTGATACCTTGAAGCCCAGGTTGGCGGAAATGTAAACTGAACCTGAGTGTGAGCCTGCTCACAGGGACAGCCTCCTTTGCTGACCAGGCCTGTCCCTCCTGCATCTCACTTAATGAGTGAGTAGAAGTTTGGATGTGCCCAGGCTTTTCCCCTCTGCTCACCAAACCATCAGCCTCAAAGCCCTCAATATGTCTTTTTCCTCCATCCTAAAATATGGCATGTGAACTCAGTTTGGAAGATTCTAAGTATAAAAACAAAGAAGACATGAAACTCAGTGTATTCTATTATCCAATCTCAGTTCTGAAAATACAAAATTAACTAGTAAATATTTCCATGTGACTATTCTACTGTCATCTCTAATATTAGGCCTCAAAGTCAAGGCCATCATGAAGCAGGTTCTAAGAATCCTTCTCTATGACCTCTCTTTCCGAACAATCTTGTGAAGCCTTTATACTAGGTAGTCAGTCTTCCCCTCTGAACCGTGACTATACCAGCTCATTTGTACGTCTGCACACATGCTCGTGTTGTGTTCTCTTGCCTGGGACAGCTGCTTTTTCTTTCCACATATCAGAATCTCTCCATCCATGAATGCACAGCTCAAGTCTTACCTGGAAGTCATTTCTGAATAGTTCTTACATCACTGATGCCCAAATGTTAAGTCTATAACACATAATTCAGAACTTACTTATATAACATTTTCTTCTCTCTCTCTCTATATATATATGTATTATTCTAATTCAGAAACATATCATATCATATCATCCTTCATAGCTGTGAAACTGATCTTGATTTTTAAAAATAACTCAGGAGCACGTCTATTGTGTTGTTTTTTGAGACAGGGTCTCATTCTGTCACCCAGGCTGGAGTGCAGTGGCATGGCTCACTGCAGCCTCAACTTCCTGGTCTCAAGCAGTCTTCTCGCTTTAGTCCCCAGAGTAGCTGGGACTACAGGCACATGCTACCACACCCAGCTAATTTTTGTATTTTTTGTAGAGACAGGGTTTTGCCATGTTGCCCAGGCTTGCATTGAATTTTCACCATGTTGCCATGTCACTGTGTTGCCCAGACTGGGCTCAAGTGATCCTCTCACCTTGGCCTCCCAAAATGCTGGGATTACAGGTGTGAGCTACAGTGCCCAGCTATTTGTCTCTCTGTAATGAAGGATTGGGCAATACTGAACGGCTAAATCAGTGTCCTCCAGTAGGGATGATTGGTTCTCATTGACATTTGGAAGAGGTGGCTTTCAATAAGACCATGGACAATTCATCAATAGTAGATAGAGTTAAGTTGCAGATAGATGTTTAAATGTGATGATGAAAGTTTGTGAAAGTTTTAGAATACCTTCAATTTTCTCAGTGAGGCAAGAACCAAGTTAGCCAAGTAAGAGGGAGAATGAAGGAAGAGATGGCAGAGATTTGAATAGTCAAGAAAAAAATGTCTACTGTATAAGTAGGAAATACAATGGACTAGGGAACTGTGGCATATTTGCTACAAGGTGAGGACAAGAGGAAGCGAAAACATGATAGGATTAGATTCCAGGTGTGACTGAAATATTTTTGGAGCTAGAGTATTAGAGGGAGAAAGATAGACAGACAGTATTGTGGGTGGAAATTAGGCAATTTGAAATTGAGAATACAGAGTGGTTGCAGGAAATGATCATGGGCTGGGTGCCTGAGTTAGGATGAAGGACAGAAAATTGAAGGGCAGTGGGTCAGGGAGACCCACCCGAGAAGCCAGATAATTAGAAAGATAATCTACCACAATGTTGAAATCATCAGTAATTAAAACAAGAGTAGTGGTGAAGAGGGTGATGATGAGCCAAGAGCGAAACACTTCAAGAACTCTAGGGGAGTGTGACCTGGAAGGGAACAAAGGAAGGATGACAAGTGGCTTGTGAATGCTCCTGAGAATGCAGTGTTGTCAGGGGAGAGTAGTGAGGTGAAATAATGTTCACAGAAGAGGATGAAAACACAGTAGATTTTTTCCAATGATTATCTTTTGTGTTCTGGCAAAAATTATGCATAACACTTTAAAAACCTGTGAAATAAGACTCCTATGCTTCTGTAAAAGGTTCTAGAGCTTAAAACTGCTCTTGAATTGTTAGTGCCTGCTGAAGCATAGTACAGATAACATGTGGCTTGGAAAGCAGAGGGGTATATATCTTTATTACAACATTTAATTAAAAGAAATGTTTTAGAATGCTGTTTTTTATTCATAATAATTGGCCATATTAAAAGGATGGCTCTGGAGGGGAATCATTTGTGCCCTATTTAATTTTTATCAGCCCATACTTTTCCCTACCATCCCATTAGTCATTTTGACTTAACTGTGTTTGCCTTCTTAAAATATGGAGCAGATAAAAATTGATGTCTCATAAACACATATTAAAGAGTAATTTGAGATTTATAGAAGAGAATAAAGAGGAACAGAGTAATGGCCACTACAGACAATGTTTCATGCAGGTAAAATGAAATAATCCACATCCACAGTGTGCACTCGTGTGCATGTATGTTTATACATGCAAGCCCCCAGAGACAGAAAGAGAGAACTGACTTGAAACTGAATCCTGAAAAGCTATTGTAAAATCCTCATAAAATAATCAAACATACTCTTGTATACATTTGTTTATTTATGGAAAGGACTTTTATCTATATCCTGTATAGCCACTGTTATTTAAAAATATTTAGACTTGGCAACCCAGCAGGTAGAACAAGACTCATCTATAGGTGATGTTCAAATAAGTACGGCCTCCTATTTGCAAATGTCAATCAAATTGAAAATAATTTTTCAGTGACACAATGAAATTTGTGCACTTATTCAAGTTCATATTTACCTATGACCTGTTATTTGAATAAGTGCAGAAATGGACTCTACAATATTAGCTCTAGTTACAAGTACATAGAGGAAAAGGCGATAGTGGCCACACTGAAAAGAATAGCCAACTGCACACAATGATGAACAGTTCAGATCCATCAACCTCTACCTCTGTAATACTTCCAAAGCAAATATCATCTGCATATCTTGATTCAGGAGAACAATATTTACTAAATCATGCAGTGATGCATAAGAGACACAAAGAAGAAAAAACAATACAAAGACAGGCGTAATACTAATAATTATTTATTTTTAATTCTATTCTGCTATGGTTCACAAAGTGAGAAATGATCCTATATGTAGAAATGAGTAGGAGACATCTTTCAAAATTCACAGTTTTGTCTTGTTTAACATTTGTCTCCTCTTCTATTGTGCAAAGAATTAGGCTGAATGATTAACATTTTGTAAAAGGAAAAAAGAAGTAGCTATATTAATCTGCAGGACTATTATTCATAACAAATAATAGATTTGTCATTTTGAAATTCTAGATACTTTATATGATTCAAGTTCCCATTAACAATTTCCCATTAATGCTGTGTTTAACTGGAAGAGCAATAATTTATATACTCTTCATGAATGACATTAAAAATAAGTGATTTATTGAGGTAGCTACTGGAAATCAAGAAAAGACAATGAAGCTGCATATTGTGATAGACAGTTGCAGGTGCTATAAAATCTTCTCTTTCACAATTATAAACAAAAATAAAACATCTTTTCCAGTGTAATGTTTCAACTGAACCCATGCTTTTTAAAATTAGAAATTAATAAAACATGAGATTAATAGGTACCATTATTTTGTAGAAAATCAATACTTGTCAACATTTTCAGACCAAGCAAGTATGACAGCATCATAGCTGCATCGTCTAGTGTGAAAGGCAGTAATAAAGTAATGCACATGGAAGACTGTGATCACTCATCCTAAAAGGCCAGTGATATTGATGAATCAGTATCCTGCATTATGATAACAACTGGACAATCCAATTAACCAAAGTCGAGTCTTAGATTTCTCTCTCTCTCTCAATGTCTCTTAACATTGATTAGGCAATCAACTTTGTTTTAAAATGCAGTGGTATCTCCTTGCAGTTTTGAGTGTTTCTGAGTCATCCAACTATATAGAGGAAAGGATAAAACAGGCTAAAGAGCCCAGTTCCTGCCATTTGGTAGTATATGATTCAGGAGGTCAATATTTACTTATAACATAACTAAGACCACAAAGTCATTATGAGAATTAAAATGAGAAGCTACTTTATTATGTCATCATCCAATCTCAAAAGTAGGTTCCATGTCATTTTTTTATCAATCACTAGATGACTGATACAAATCTCTGAAATGACAGTCTTAGATATTGCTATGAATGCGCAACAAATGCACATCTATGCAAAAACCTCTTAAGGTTCATAAACTATCTAGGATATAATATCAGAAAAAGGAAAATCACCAAAAAATAGTATGAAAAAAGAATACTGTCTCTGGGAAAAACAAGAATTAGCTACTCTTTACATTTTGGAATTTATTTTTGGTTCTTTTTTTGGTCTCAGTGGCTTTCTCTCTCACCCACGTAATCATGTTGTCCTAAGCTCCTGCCTCCTTCTCCCCTCCAATGCTCTAGATTTCCATCCTCCTTTCAGGAGCCTATTAGAGCTGTCTTCCATCAGAGAGTCAGTCAAGCATTCACTGAGCACCTATTATTTGCACAGCACCAGGAATTTTTAAGGTGACCTTTAACACATTAATCCAATGGCTAAAGGCAGTGAATTTCCAGGTACCTCGGCAATCCAGTAACAGCTTACATTTATACTAGATATAATTCTAAATAACAGAGCTAAAAAAGGAACCTTATTTTGAAATGTGATGCCTAACACTTATCACAATAGAGATTAAAATCACAGGAAAAATGATTTATACTACAGATAATTTTAACTAAATTAATTTCTAATCACTTATTGGCCTTTTGGCTACAAGCAAGTGTATTAAATTAATTTCTAAAAATTCTATGCAATTCTCTTATATTTATTTCCTTTCTGTTTTGTTGTTGTTGTTGTTGTTTTTTAACATGAATGTAGACACCAGATACTTTGGGGGAAGAGAATAATAAACCATCATGCTATGGAAACTTCTTCAACCAGGGGCAAAGAGTTTTATCAATTTGGACTATCTTATTAAACTTTAAGGACCAGAGACTCTCAAGAAAATGTAAACTTGTGACAATGATTTAAAATTATGGGGAGTCTTTCTGCTGTTTTCAGAAATACTATGAAATTTGAGGTTGCTATTATCCATTGGAATTTGTACAATTTCCTTTGTTAAAATTTCCAAGCATCTAGGACCACCTGAGCTCATGGTAATACAGTATCACAAAATGCAGTGACAAGTTACAAATATGATAATTAGTTCTACTTTCCCCTTGTTGAGCTTTATATGACAATAAATTTCCTTTAAAACGATAGCCTATAAAACTCTCCTCTCTGAAGTCAGTCTAATAACATGGATAATTTGAGTCTAACTTGTATAAAAGCAGCAATTATTTCACTGAATAAAACTATTGAACATATGCTTGCTTATCTACCCAGACTAAACATCTTGTTTTAAAGATAACATGTTCACAATGTTCATTTTAAATGGAAATAATTAAAAATATATATATACTACGTGATCTCAACTTTATATCAAAAAACATGTAAAGCAGACGAATGGACAGTTCAAATTATGTCATTATAGGTAAATGGGCTATTATGGGTGACTTTAAGTAATCTATTTTGTACCAACATTTTCCAAGTTGTCTTCAATACCATGCATCATTTTCAGAGCCAGAAAAATACATATTATTTACATAAAATAAAACTTTTTTCTGGATGAAAATGAAACAATCTTAGTGAAACATGAACACTGATGTATGGTCATGAGTTCTTCAAATATATATTACCCTGTAGACACAAATGGAAAAATATTACTCTGAAAAACTCACGGTTAAGATATTTGTGGGACAATATAATAAGAGAAACCTAATGATCCCCATCCATCTTCAGTACCTGTAAATATACCAGAGGGACAAATAAGGCATGATTAGAGGGTGACCCATTTAAAGGCAACCCCAACTAATTCAACAAGGCTTGGAACTTGACCCGCATAATTTAGAGCTTCTAAAATAAACTTCACAGCATGCTAAAATATTAATTTGCTTCCCAGATCTACCAACCCTTGCCCTTTACCTAGCTACCTAGAAAAACTTATCTTTTTCTTTCATTGTATCAACCCCTACATCTGAATAGTGAGCAATCCAGACAGACTTAATCATAAGACACATTTCAATTCTGATAGTTCCTGAAATCTGAACGTGTCTTCCAAAAATTGGCCTGTTTGATATGCTTATCTTCTTTCTGAAAAACTCTGATTGCATCAATGATGTGTATTATTATAATTAATAGTATCTTGGTATCAGTGAAATACAACATGTATGTATACATATATTTAGTTATGTATAGATATACCTATGTACTATATACTATAAATATATATACTTACATAGTATAATCATCAATTATGGGTGGTGATATTTTATAATTATTTTGTGTATTTCTTCTCCATCAACCTACTGGAAAACAAATGGCTTCTTACAACTTACAGATCATTGCTGGACCTCACTGAAAATCGTCTCAACACTCTGTCATATTTTTTCCCCTTAATAAATTAAAAGTTTGTACCTCTTGGGCAACATTATACACAAGATGGCAGGGCAAGGTGAGGAGTGATTACATGAGTTCAAAGGGAGTTTAGGCATATCTACTTCTCTACTAACCACGGTTAAATTTCTATCCGTTTGCAGAAAAGATTTCAGGAACATTCGGTTTAGCTTTTATTGATCTTTATTTAGCCTTCACTGTCCTTAAATATAGAACAGTTTAGGACTAATCAGTACCCTCAGGGACTGGTAAAAGAAATCTGTGCCTTAATAGAACCATGAGTATCAGTTTCTTTAGAAAAACTTTCATCAAATAGTATACGGTTTTAAAACTGAAAAGCATCAAGTTTCATGACCTCTTCTTTGTAAATCTTATAAATTGGTGAATCTACTGAATTAGCCAGCCATATGTTCCAGCAAATACAAAATAAATCTAACGTATACTTTTCTACTTGTATTAAGGTTTTACATTTAAAAGCTCAAGTGATTTTCAACAGGCAGTTGATATTTATATATCATTACTACAGGAAGAAACACGGTCCAAGATCAATCTAATTTAGATATAATTTAGAGCATATGTTTCCAACTCTTACTGCATGAAGTCAAGGCAGTGAAATCCAGCAGCTAAGAGTAAGGGTAAAAGACTTTAGTTGTCTTACTTGCCAGCAAGTTATTTAGCTTCACTCTACCTCATTTTTATCATTTATGGAAGAGGGATAAGACAATCCACTTTACAGAATTTTTGTGCAGATTAAATAAAATAACCTAGCTAAGTGCTTACCTGTTGCCTATAAGTTTTCAATAAATCTTAAGTATATTACTCTTGATACTATTATTATCCACTAATGTTATAAAGTAGGTTCAATTATCAGGTAATTGGTGGATACCATTTGCAACAAATATATCTGGGATGTTTATTTTAAAATTACAAGATCTGTGAGGATTTAAAGAGCATTGTTTCCAAACCACATTCCATGGGAAAAATGTGGTCAGTAGTTAAGTGGTCATGACATATAGGGCATTAAAATAAAATTTTTAAAAATGTATTTGTCAAAATGAGTTTGAGATTGCTGTATGGTGTACTCTTATCTTGGAAACTGAAACTGTTCATTAATATATTAAACGATAATGAGAGGCCCACAGAAGACACCTGTTTTCTTTGCTTCCTTAAGCATACCTAAGCTTACTTAACTAGAGAATTCATTTATCACAGAGCTACTAATAACCCCCTGACTTTACGTTACTCTGGGATCCTAACAAGAACAACATAATAGAAAAAAAACAAAGCAGGCCAGGTATACAAAAGAAAAAGAAAAGATATATACATGGGACCAAGAAGGATTTGTTTCTTATGGACACTACTAAAGCAACACAGCAGGACAAGCTGGGCTGTGAATGGTAGCAGAGCCCAGTCTGAGCTCCAGGGTGACAGGTGTCTGGTAGCAGCTGTGCACACTGGAGGCCACATGCCTTGCTCACATGGACTGTTTTAATTCAATGCAGCAGGCCCAGGGCAGTCAGATCTACTTGTTTTTCTTTTCCCTAAAATGTATTTTTTCATGTAAAGTTACCATTTTTTTTCTCATTTGCATCACAGATGCTTATACAGTCCATGTTTCACAGGACAAAGCAAATACGTCTGTGAGTTAGATACAGTCCCATATGCAAGAGTTTGGGAGTTCTGGCATGTTCTTTAGGGCCCAAACTATGATCTATCGATTCATATCAATCATTCATCCAATGGCTAAACATTTTGCCTTATAGCAACCCTGTGAGGAATAAATTATTATGCCCAACTTCCTGATAAGGAGATTTAGTTAAAAATAGGTGAGAAAAACTTGCTCATGTTCACAGATCTGGTAGGTGGGTGATCATTCCCAGGTGCACATGATTTATTATTGTACTTTCCATGAGTCACATAGGAACATACATTTGTTCTGGAGAATGCAGAATTTGGGGCAAGGGGGAAATGTTCCCCGATTAATTACACTCATTCATCCTTCCTTATTCAGAGGTGAGGTAACTCTGGTTAAATTTTTTACTTTTTAAATGAAGATATCAACCACTTTCTGGTTGGGGAGCTATATCATATAGTACCCTTACATGGTAATAGAATGTCTTTCAGGTCTTTAATTTCAAAGATGTACTTGAATTTCTAATCTTTGTTTTCAAATATTTATTAAAAATTTGCTCTGAGAAGTTACAGACTAGATGAATCTCTAATGTGAATAAAATCCTATTTCTCTAGATCAGATTTGGCAAACGACAGTCCATGAACCAAATCTGGCTCACCATCTAACTGCTTAAAGTTTTATTGGTACACCCATTCATTTACACATTACCTATGGTTTCTTTCATGCTACAAAGGCAGAATTGAGAGGTAGAGATGGAGAACATATGACCTCCAAAACCAAAATATTTACTCCGGCCTGTACAGGATGACTTTGCCAATTTACTCCTCTATATATTCTAAGTTTTTATCCCAGTAACAAAATGACACAATTATAGACCTCTGTCCTCAGAGATTGCTGTTTTCAGATGATCACTGTTTTATAAACGTGCTTTTTACTGAGTTTTCATGTTGCTGTCACTCCTGGGCTTATATTACATGTAGACAATAAGAAGAATGCCTACAATAATTTTTATTGTACTCACTGGAGAGGGTATCATTGAGGATGCCGTTAACCTCACCACAGTGCTCCCTACGAGAACTGGAATGCAAAAATTGTTTTTGTTTTCTCCCGAGGTATTAGTATTAATAGCATGACCACTTCAAATCTTATAATCATTTGTTTTCTCTTCATTTAGAAGTGAAAAAATTATTTAAAGACAATACTTGCAATATTCCAATTTACATTGCAGAGCATCCCTTTCTACTTTCTAAATTTAATCTCGGCTTCATTTGAGTTTCCTAGTGTTGTTTCCTTTTTATTCCGATTTTTTAATTCATTTTATGTTATTGCAATGTGTGCATATTTTTAGCCATACCTCCTCTTTTTAAATTAAGGTTGGATATAAATAAATGAGAGTATCAGTTCTAAAGAAAAAGACCTGAAAGAAAAGACATATGAACCTTCTGCCCTTGTGACAAGAATCTATTCCTATGATAGCATCATGCCTTATCCCCAGGGCTCTGTTTAAACCTCCAGAATACAAGAAGGAAAGAAAATACTCTAATACTCTGATGTCACAAAGACCTCAGTTGAAAAAAATCTGCAGCTATCTACAGGGCTGTATCTTGAGGAGAAAGAGAACCAGATTTCCTTAGTTTAGTTAGCAAACCTCCTAAGGTATGCCATCTTTCCTGATAGCTTTTTTTTTTTTTCTGCTTTAACTGTTTTAATGTCTGCACATGGGAGTTTACTCAATGTGATGTTATAATGACAGATTTTATAAAATTGAATAAATATTATATGATTATAAAAAATAATATAATGAATCTAGGCACAAAATAAGAAAAGCTATTGAATCACTGCATAACACAAGTTAAATCATAAATCATAATGAAATAATGTGAACTTAATTTGAATGTAATAACCAATTACATCTACATATTTTCTTTTTTTATTATTATTATTATACTTTAAGTTTTAGGGTACATGTGCACAACGTGCAGGTTTGTTACATATGTTAAGACCTTTTACTTAGAGATCAAATGAGATTTAGGACAGAGTATATGCCTTAATGGTAGCTTTATATGACAATGCAAAATAAAGTGAAAGACGGCATGATGCCAATATGGAATTATACCGATGCAACTAAAATTACAACAGAGTAGAACACAGGCAGATGCTCAGGTCAGCTTTCTGTCTCATTCATTGCCTGTGCTGACCATTTTGCCTTGCTGCGTTCTTCCTGTACAATCAAAAATATTGAGAAAGATGCTATCAATCAAACAGATCATTTAGGAAGGATGGCTTTACCTTTTGCTTAGATATAGGTAATTGGGTACCACTGAAATTCATCTGTGATCCTACCTATGGCATGCAAATACAATATTAATTTTTCTCCTGGACCTCCCCACAGAATTTTTCTATGAAATAAGTTTTTCTACCTTAACCAAAATTGAATTCACTTCAAATTTGCTATTGAAAAATATGAAATTGATTCATCCCACCTTTACCTCTCATGCCTTTCTTGGTGGGAAGGCAAATAATTAGAAAGGTTAATAATTCAAAGTAAAAAAGCATTTTATAGCTAATTACTTTAAGAAATAAGCAGAATTTTATATCCATCCCGTATTCTCCTGTACATACTTCCAAAATGATCTGTACCTAATGCCTTCACTACTTGGCTATCTGTGAAAGAGTATATCTATGGCTTAGTGTTTTTCTTAAATTATTTTTTCTGCATCATTCATAAACATTAACTAAATAAGATTACATATTATCTAGATCTTTACCACTTCCTTTACTCTCATCTTTAAACATGATTATATAATGGCTATGGTTACATGTAGCCGGCATTCAGTAATTAGAAAACTATGAAGCTTACAAGTTACCGGATGTTTTGATGTTAGAAATAGCTGCTTCATAGCACTTTCGTGAAGTGCCACTTCTTTGCTCTCCACTAAATTTACTTAAGGTTAAAGTCCAGCTTTCTGGTGCATATTCACACAAAAAAACAAAAACAAAAACAAAAACAATGTTTTTTTCAGCAGTATTATTGCATCCAAGTTTTTAGGATCCTTCATAAGAAAATCTGCATTAAAGTAAAAACATCTTGAATTCAAGATGCTTTTAAATGATAAAGAATTATTACCATAAAGTTACAATACAATGTCACATTAATCAACATTACACAAACATCTTAGAAGCATGCTGTTCCCGCGATAGCCTAATCTGACTTCAAGGAAGAACTCTTACAAATAAAGATAGAATGCACTGACAAAATTCACCCATAAACCAGAAGGTACAAGTGTGTGAACTACTTTACAACACAGCCAAAAGAGCAACTTAGAGCAAACTGCTGAAGGAACCCCAGGTGGAGTAATTAGGATACATGGTATCTCTAACATATTCTTTATGTAGACTTAATTTTGTTACTAATAGTCAAAAGACATGGCATCAGTGAAGCAAATGAAGAATAACGTTTTATCTGAAAAACTGATATTAACCCAATAAGAATTTTGTTACTGATCTCTAAGAGCTGAACGTGCTTTGAAAAGTTATTCAGAGAAGGCATTAGCTATCTTCTAACTATAATAAAATATAATATTTTATATAAAAAAGCATTTGATATTTAGTAAAAAGTATGTGTTTTCAAAAATATATTTTTGTAGATTTGGATTATGTGAAAGATACATAGCACACTAAGACACCAACATTATTCAAAACAAAAAGTTGAGGAGCTACAGTTTTTAATTGCTACATATCACTATACATACCAAAACCCTTTTTTCACATTTTAATATTTCTGAAATCAGAATGAGTTTTAAAAATGAAGGCATATCATAATTATAATGGCAGTTTGCTACATAAAATAATGGTATATGGTGTAACTGATGGTGTCTTAGAATCCAGAAAATGTGATGTCTTCACCATAAAGTTAACTCGTTTACTGATTTTCAAAATTTTTTAAGGATTACATTGCTGATTAAGCAGTGCTATCAATCACTAAAATATAAAAATTCTTAATACTGCCAAGCAGGGGTATCTCTACATTCTCCTGTCACTACTGCTCAAGGAGGAATATAAAATGCCACTCATTTACTTTTCCTTAATTTTTTTTTCTCAAGGGAAATATATGAAATTGTCTGTCTGATAACACTATAGTCATGTGATAAGGCTTGAACTTCGCTCATAATCCTAGTCTCTCTTCCTTTGATATGCTCAATATAGAATATGTGAAGGCACATGACATTTAAGGTGTGGCTGACCTATGCTTGTAAAGAGGAGCAGCCTTTCTTACTTTGGTTGCTGAAATTATTTAATACAGATAAGGACTAACCATGTTTTTTGTAAGTCCTTTTTGAAAAAATTTATTGGAAATCATTAAGAATCTAATGGCAAAGCTTTACTAAGTTCACAGTCAACTAAATCCATTAAATTCCATATATATAGCCTAACGTTAAATAATTATTTCCCTGATGCATTTAATATATTACACCTCAATACAAAACTTCCTTTTTTAATCTTAGTAAATGACATATTGACAGATTTAGCCTATTATTCTTGCTTGTCAAATACATACACACACACATTTTTAAAAAGCTTTTCCAATTGCATATCACTTGTTCCAACATGCTTCCAACAAACTGACCTGTCTCTTAAATTCCTTTCTTCCTGTGATCTTGTCCTTCAGCCTAATAGAGCCACTGTCTCAATCATCATTCTCCAGACCTTTACATTACTAATAACTAGAACTGAATATAATTATAGCTTCAAGCATCCCACCCTCTGACCACAACCTTTTGTTCCCTAAGAATGTAGCAGAATCCTCCCTTTGGGCAATATCAGGCACAATTAATCACTACTTCTCTATTGAAAACTCTCCTTTATTGGGCTTCTGAGTGTCACATTCTCTCGTTTCTTCTGTCCTCTCTGGCTACTTAATCTCAAAATCTTTTTCTGGTTTCTTTTAATGGGTCCAATTATGGAGGAGTCCAGGGCTTAGTTCTCAGCTCTTTTCTACTTAAAATTCCTCCCTTAGTGATCTCACCAAATCTCATGGCTTTATTAACATCTATATGCTGATGATTTTCAAATAGATATTTCCCTGAACTTAAACTCATATAGCCAACCTCCTACTTGACATCTCTACTTGAACTTATCTAATAGGAATATAAAATTAACACACCTAATACTGAATTTTTTATATTCCTTTTCCTGCCCCCACCTGCATATATTTCAGTCATCCCCATTTCTGTTAATGGACAATACTACTTTTTAATTGATAAGGCCAAATGTCCCTTGTGCCATCCTTTTTACCACTCTTTCCCTTGAAACAATATCCAATCATCATAAACCTACTCAATGTCCATAAAAAATAAATCCAGAAAATGCTAATTAAGACCTCATTAAAATTTTACTTCACACATAGCACTACTGCTGACATTAAAAAGGCTGACAACACAACACGTTAGCTAGAATGCAGAGCAACTTGACATCTCATATATTGCTAGTCAGACTGAAAATCAAACATTTTGAAAAACTGGAAGATACCTTACAGTGTTAAATACATGCCTACTCTGTATGCCAACAATTGTATTCCTAGTATTTACCCAAGAGACATAAAAACATATGCCTACAAAACTAATCATACAAGAATGTAGCAGAGTGATGTCAGCAAGATGGCAGAACAGGAAATCCTAGACTCTCCTTCTTCATACAAGCATATCGATTCAGCCACAATTGATGGAAGAATTCCCTGTGTGGGAAATCAGAAACTAATTGAAAGGTTCCTGCATCCTGGGAGAATGCAAAACCAGACTCACTGAAGCTGACAGAGAGATATGAAACACCCTCTCACCAGACACCCTTGTCTCAGTGTGGTTCCCTAAGATCAGAAAGAGATGCCCAAGCTCCTGGTTTCACCCAGGGGAGGTAAGGGCTTGGATCCCATGTTCAGTTCCCTTGCATTTCCAAGGAAGCAGGGTGGGGAGTCGGGGCGGGGGGACACAGAGAACTGGCCTTTGCCTTGCTAGCCTTGAAGCTCTGATGGGCCCAGCACAGTCTAGACACCTGAGGAAGAATGCAGGCAACATCTTGGGCTGGTACAGGCCATTGATACTCCCCACTGCTCAGCACAGAGTGAGCAAACGAACAAACAAAAAAAATCCCAATTTTTTTTCAGCTTTCTTCTTGGAAAGGAAAGAGTTGATCTGTGTATCCAATGCTACAATATCTCTAGGGCTTCCTAAACAACTAGCTTCTGCCTTGTGAGTCCTGAAGCTCTGATGGAGATGGCACAATCTAGCCACCTGAGGAAAAATAGAAACAGTGGGTTATAGACACCATAGCTTCAGTTTATCACAGAGTAAGCTGACAAAAGCCTTCCCTTCCTGTGGGAGGAAAAGAGTTGATAGAGGCCACCAGAATCCCTGGGTAGGTTGATTGGTGGGAGCCTTCTGTACAAGTCAAGTCAGTAAAGACTGATAGAGGTGTCTGCTTTGTCTAATGTGCAGATACCAACAGAGAGAGTCAAGAAAAATGAAGAATCCGACTAAGATGCTCCAAAAAAAGGAACAAGATAAACTTCCAGAAATCAACCCTAATGAAATGGTTAACCTGACAATGAATTAAAAATAACTTTCATAAGGTTGAGAGCCCAATGAAAGTAAGAATTTCAACAAAGAAAGAGAAAATATTACAAAGTACTAAACCAAAATCATGAAGCTGAAGAACACAAGTGACCTGAAAAATGCACTAAAGGGGTTCAGCAGCAGACTAGATCAAGCAGAAGAAAGTATCAGCGAACTGGAATAGAAGTCACTGGAAATAACTCGGAGGAGTAAAAAGAGAAAAAAAGAATAGAAAAAAATTTAAAGAAAGCTTAAGAAATTTATGGAATACCAGCAAGCAGACCAATATACAAATTATGGAAGTCTCTTAATGATAATAGAGAAAAACAACCAGAAAACTTATTCAAAGAAATAATTGTTGAAGGCTTCACAAATCTGGGGAAGTTAATGAACATCCATATCCACAAATCCAAAGAACATCAATAAGACAAATTCAAAGAAATACACACTGAGGCACATTATAATCAAATTATCAAAAGTCAAAGACAAACGAGAATTTTGAATTCATCAAGAAAATGTGACCAGTCCCATACAAGGAAATATCCATGAGACTATGAGTAAATTTATCAACAGAAACCATGTAGGGCAGAAGATGAGGTGATATATTCAAAGTGCTGAAGGAAAAAGAAAAATAAAACTGTCATCAAATAATACTCCACCTGGCAAAAACTGTCCTTTAAAAATGAAAGAGAGATAAAGACTTTTCCAAACAAAATAAATTGAGGGAGATCATCAACACCGGACCTGCCTTACAAGAAATGTTAAGTGGTGTTCTTCAATTCAAAATGAAAAGGCATTAAACAGCAACATGACAGCATAAGAAAGTATAAAACTGGTTGAGAAAAGTAAATATATACACAAATATAAAATATTGTATTATTGTAATGGTGGTGGGTAAAACACATTTAATTCTAGCATAAAAGTTAAAAGAAAAAATTATTTTGAAAACTATAAAGATACAAACACAATTATTAAAAGATAAATAATATGAATAGATTTTGAAAATAATAACATAAAGTATGTTCTGGGGAGGAAGTTAAATTGTAAGTTTTTGTATGCAATTCAACTTATTAGCATAAAGTAGACAGTTGTAAGATATTTTATGTAAGTAGCAAGGTAACCACACACACACACATACAAATCTGTAAAATTTACACAAAACAACAAGAACAAAAAACTAATTGAGGCATAACAATACCAAAAAAAACCCCAACAAAACCCAATGGAAAACAAGAGAGGAAGACATACAAAAGTACTGTAAGAATAATAAGAAACAACTAACAAAATGTCAATAGCAAATCCTTTCCTATCAATAATTACTTTAAATGGATTAAACTCTCTAATCAAAAGACATAGAGTGACTGAACAGATTAAAAAAAAGAAACTTTAGATTTAAGGACACACATTGGCTGAAAGTGAAGGGATAGAAAATGATATCCCATATATTATAAATCATAACCAAAAGAGAGTAGGGGTACATCAGACAAATGACCATTAAGTCAAAAACTATTTCAGAGACAAAGAAAAAGCTTTTATAATGATAAAAGGGTCAATGCGTCAAGAAGATAGGGCCATGATAAACATATATATGCACTCAACATCAGAGCACCTCGATATATAAAGCAAACATTGACAGAACTGAAAGGAGAAATAGACCACAATACAATAATAGCAGGAGACTTCACACCTCATTTTCAATAATGGACACAACATCCAGACAGATCGATAAGAAAACAGATAATCTGAATAACATTAAAGAAAAAATGGACCTGACATTTAAAGAGCATTCTACCAAACAGGAGCAGAATACACACTCTTCTCAGACATGCATCTTTCTCCAGAGTATTTCATATGTTAGATCACATAAGAGACTAGTATGAAAAATTATACCCTAACAAATTACATAATCCAGAATAAATGAACAAATTGCTAGAAACACACATATCAAAACTACATCATAAAGAAATAGAATCAGTAATCAAACACCTCTCAAAAAATAAAAGCCCAGGATAAGATGACTTCACTACTAAATTCTACCAAATATTTAAAATATGAAATAGAAAATGAGGGAACTGGATATATACCCAAAGGAAAATAAATGATTGTACCAAAAATACACATACACTTGCATGTCCATCTCAGCGCTATTCACAATAGCAAAGACACGGACTCAATCTAGGTGCCCACTCATGGTGGGTTGGATAAAGAAAATGTGGTACATAAACACCATGGAATATTATGCAGCCATGAAAAAGAATGAAATCATGTCTTTTGCAGCAACACGGATGCAGATGGAGGCCATTATCCTAAGCAAATTAATGCAAGAACAGAAAACCAAAAATTACATGTTCTTACTGATACGTGGGAGCTAAATGTTGAGTACACTTGGATATAAATATGCAAACAACAGACACTAGGGACTACTAAAGGAGGGAAGAAGGAGATGTGGGGTGAAAAACTACCTACTGGTTATTATGCTCATCACACAGGGTCATCTGTACCTCAAACCTCAGCATCATAAAATATACCCATGCAAAAAATCCGTACATGCACTCCCTGAAACTAAAATAAAAGTTGAAATTATTTTTAAAAAGAAAAGAGAAAAAAGCAGCAGAAACCATTTAATCAAGTACACAATTTTTCCTTATTATGAGTATATGCTGAATTTTGTCAAATACTTTTTATGTGTCTTTTGAAATGATCAGAGGGTTTTTGTCCTTTCTGTTAATGTGATGCATCACATTTATTGATGTGCCTGTGTCAAATTATCTTTACATCCCTGGGATAAACTGCACTCGATAATAGTAAAATATTGTTTCAATGTGCTGTTGGAAAAAAAAAAAAAAGAAAATGAGGGAACATTTACAAACTCAATTCTTGAGGCTGGTAATTATCCTGATATCAAAGCCAGGCAAAGAAACCACAAGAAAACTACACACCAATATCTATGATGGATATAGATGCAAAAATTTTCAAAAAATACTAGCAAATGGAATCCCACAGCCCATTAAAGGGATCATAGATGATGATTATGCGGCATTTATTCCTGTGATGCAAGGATGTTCAACATGCCCAAATCAGTTAACGTGATACAGCAAATCAACAGAATAAAGGATAAAAATCACAGGATCATCTCAACATATGCACAAAAAGAATTTGGCAAAATTCAACACCTTCTTATGATAAAAACCCTCGAAAATGAGAAGTAAAGGAAATTACCTGAATATAACAAGAGTGATATATGAAAAGTCCACAACTAATATCAGACTTAACAAGAACAGAAAGCTTGTCTCTACAATCAGGAATGAGGCAAGAATGCCACTCTCACCACTTCTTTCAGAATATTACTAGAAGTTCTCTCCAGAGCAACTGTGCCAGAAAAAGAAACTGATGACATCAAAAACAGAAAGAACTAAAATATTCCGACTCCATCTTACATGATCGTATATATGTATTCATATATACACATAATCTTATACATAGACAACACTAAAGTCTATAGACACATAGACAAATGATCTTAGACAACATTAGAGACTCCAGAAAAAGCACTGTTAGAACAAATAAATTCATTTAGTAAAGTTGCAGGATACAAAATCAACCAGCAAAAATCAGTTTCATTTCTGTATACTAGCAAAAAACTATCTGAAAAGGTAATTAGGCAAACAGTGTCATTTACAGGTGCACCACAAAGAATAAAATATGTAAGAATAAACTAAGGAGGTGAAAGACTTGTTTACAAAAAAACACTGCATTGATGAGAGAAATTTTAAAAAACACAGCAAATAGACATCAAAAGTCCAAAGACTGGAAGACTTAATATTGTTAAAATGTCCAACCACCCAAATCAATATGCAGAATCAATGCAATCCCTATCAAAATTCCAATGGCATAATTTACAGAAATAGGAAATATAATCCTAAAATTCACTAGAAACCCACAACAGGCCATGAAAAGCCAAAATCAATCCTGAGAAAGAAAAATAAATTTTGAGGCCTCAGACTTCAAAATACAGTACTTACTGATTCCAAAATACATGACAATGTTAAAATAATCAAAATAGTATGGTACTGGCATAAAGATAGACATATAAACCAATATTACAAAACAGAGAGTCCAGAAATAAACTCATCCATATGTGGTCAACTGATCTTTGACAAGATTGCCAGTGTATCTAATCAGGAAAGAATAGCCTCTTAAACAAATGGTGGTAGGAAAACTAGTATCCACATGCAAAAGATTGAAATTAAACCCTATCTTATATGATAGACAAAAATCAACTTAAAATGAATTAATAGCTTAAATGGAATACCTGAAACTGTAAAACCCTTAGAAGAAAACATAGGGAGGAAGCTCCTTGATATTTGGTCTAGGCAATGAGTTATTGGATATGACACCAAAAACACAGACATTAAACACTAAAAGAGACAAGTAAGACTATATCAAACTAAGAAGCTTCTGCAGAACAGAGGAAATAATCAACAAAGTGAAAGAAATCTACTGTATGGAAATGTCTTGAATGAGAGAAAATTTTTACAAACTATATATCCAATAAAAGTTTAACATCTAAAATATATAAGGAATCACTACAAATAAATAGCCACACCTCTTGCCATATTTCACCCAAGTAAAATATGGGCAAAGGATTTCAATAGATGTTTCTTCAGAGACGATATACACATGAACACCGTGTATATGAAAAGATGCTCAATATCACTAATCATCAGGAAAGGTAAATTAAAACCTATTCATATATTACCTTGTACCTATTAGGATGTCTATTACCAAGAAACAAATAATAACAAGTATTGATAAAGAGGTGGAGATATTGGAACTCTTGTACACTGTGGATGGGAATGTAAAACAGTGCATCTTCTATGGCAAACAGTGTGGGGGTTCCTTGAAAAATTATAAGTACCAAACAATCCAAATATCCCATTTCTAGGCATTTATCCAAAAGAATTAAAATAGGGATCTCAAAGAGATATTTGACCTCACATGTCCATTGCAACATTACTTATAATAGCCAAGATGTGAAAACAGCTTAAAGGTCCATTGATGGATGAGTAGGAAAAACATGTGATATACATACAATGGAATATTATGTAGACTTAAAAAAGAAGGAAATCCTATCCATGTGACAACATGAATGAACTCTGAACACCTTACGCAGGGTGAAATAAGCCAGGCAGAAAAGGGCAGATACTTATATGAGGAATCTAAAATAGTAAAACTCCTAGAAGCAGAGGGTAGAATGGTGGTTGCTGGAGGCTGAAAGAGAGGTGGGGAAATAAGAGATTGCTGTTCAATGAGTGTAAAATTTCAGTTATGTAAGATGAATACGTCCTAGAGATCTGCATGCAACGTTGTGCCTATAGTTAACAACACTGTACTGTACACTGAAATATTTGCTAAGATTGTAGACCTCATGTTAAGTCTTTTTTAAACCATAATATATCATAAAAAACAGTGCCTGGTACACAGTATGAATAATGTAAATTTTACCTCAATAATGAACAAATATCCAGAAATTGAGCTACCACCTCAATAATTACTGTTATCATCACCTTTTGGATGCATTACTGTAGTAGCTCTCCTTACTTCCATCATTTATTTTTCCTACAATTGGTTTTCTACCCTATCAACTAGAATCACACCATCTAAAAAACAAGTAAAGTCATGTAACACCTTTGTTCTGAATACTTCATTGACTAACTCACAAGTAAAGCCAACATCTTTTCATGATTTGCAAAGCTCTGCGGGTACGGCCTCACTCTGTTCCTCTCTGACATCACATCTGGCTTACTTAGCTCCAGTCACACTTGATGTTTCTTGCCTCAGGCCTTTGCACTTGTTCCCTCTGCTCTTCCCCCATATATCTAAATAATGTACTCCCTCATCTGTGAAGTCTTAGTCACATGTCAACAACTCCCGAGGCCTTACCTGACTACCCTATTAAAAATTGTGAACCCTTGGCACTTTCTACCCACTTCATTCGTTTTATTAATAGTGCCTATCACCAATATGGTATACAGTGCCTATCTCTAATATGGTATATGTTTTGTTTGTCCTTTTTGTGTGTGAGTGACTCTCTTTCCACATTTTAATGTAAAAATCTATGAAGGCAATACATTTTTTGTGTTTTGTTCACTGCTGCATTTCATGTCCTAAGATAGTGCCTGGCACACATAGGAGGTACTCTGTAAATATGAATTTCTGTGTAAGTGAATGGATAGAGCATAAATATGATCACTCTGCAACCAATGTCCTCATTCTGTTATTTATTAAATTGTTGAGGTAGACAGAGCCAAGGACAGTCATAAAGCACATCACCAGATAAATCCCTCCAGCTTTACCTAAATAGAATAATGAACACTTATTTTAGATGCATTTGCCAAGCTTAAATCATTCCGCCTTTCCTAAGGTAACAAAATCAGCTCTGTAAGTTTTTATCCAAGTAAGACTTTCATCTTAGTACAAAGTCAAAGCATTTATCGATTGCTGCACTGCTACCATTAAGTGAATTAATCTCAATATGATATCATAGATACAAACCTCTATCTTATTTCATCTTTAATTAAAACATACTACAATAATAGTGTTTTCCCTAACAGTAATAACAAAAAAATCATAAACTCTTAAAGAACAAACATTTTCTGTGTTTTCTACCCTTCTTCTCATTCCAGGTTGTCACGTCATCAATTTACTGCTAATAGAAGCCACCAACTACTCAGTCATGTTAACTAGTGTCACTGTAACTCTTCACAAGCACTATGTAGTAGGGAAACTCAGATGGAATCTTGATTTAAATAAATCATTTAAACACAGTCAAAAAGTACCATAAAGTTCAAATAAATATTCCATTTATTGGTTATATAGCATGTTCTAGCATAGCATATTTCTCCCAGTATTGGGCATAACATAGTGGGTAATCACATGCTACTTGAGTTCAAATCCCTTTTCTACCATTTGTAAACTGTAGGATCCTGGGAAAATTACTCAAATTCCATCTGCCTTAATTTTCCCATGTATAAAATAGTGATTTAAAAAAGCACCTTCCTCATAAGGTTACAGAGATAATTCAGTGAGATAACAAATCTAAAGGGTATAAATGTTTGCTATCATTGTTACTTATATGTAATAGCAAAGGAAGTAGCACGATTATGTTTTTCTGTCCTTATGAATTCCCTCTTACAACCTGATGACTTGGCCTTAAAAAATGTCAGAATAATGAAACACTGATGAATTCTGTGACTGTGTAAGTTAAATAATGCTTGATGTAATTGGATTTATATTTCTACTAAATATTTGGTTGCCATTTACAACACTGGAGATGACTGGCTATGAGCCCCTTAAATCCATCTTTTTATAAAAATCAATCTATATTGGAATACAAAAGTCTCTGTGCTTCTCCAGAGATCAGAGATGGAAGTCTCTTACATGTGTCTCTCTCTGCCCAATTTATTTGGTCACACTGTAGTCTCAACTACAGTCTTGTTGATCATTCTCTCCCAGACACAATGCCAGAGAACCACTGATGCACAGGCCCTTGTTCCTGCAGGGCTGCCACCACCATTAATACAAAAACTGAGGCTGGCGCTCTCCTCTTATAACTACACCCGGACTCTACCACTGGCCCCAGGGGATCATTTCAGCCCCTGAACCCACTGACGTGCAGATCTCCAAAGATTAGGTCAGTCAAAGATTGCTGTCAGCCCATCCTGTCCACAAAAGCTCCTCTGAAAGGCAAACACTTGCTGCTGTGCTGTGATTTAGAAGTTTTATACTTGGACCCATACCCAGGAAACATGAGATTTTTCCTGTTCAAATATTTATACCTGCCTGGTTCACTTTACCTGTTGCCACACACGGCTATATCATCCTGCTGACTATGACAGACTTCATTCTTTATGACGAGTTCAGCCCTGCCTATAATCTTGCTTTTTTCACAGTACCTCACAACCGCATCCAATTAGATATGTTGTACCTATTCAAAGTCCAACATTGACAGAAGTCTTGTCTTTTCCACTGCCAGAGATGTCTCAGCCTCCACATAAATCAGCCCATCCAGATGGGTTTTGAGGAGGAAGTATTGTCTAAACCTACACACTAGCTACCTGTGTCATAGCATTGGACCAGTGGGATATCCTGCTGCATAGAAAAAATGCCAGTGACCTCCCGTGGCTATTATAGATTAATGCTGTGCAGTAACTATAGAACTGAGTAGAGATAAAAAGAAGTAATCTCATTTAGAACAAAATTAATTTCTCAGAATGATCATTAGTATGAGCACTATATGCATTCATGAATCTCCAACATTATGTTTCCTTCCCTTTATTTTAGATGCTTTTAAAACACCAAAATAAATTTTCCTTTTCCTAGCATTAGAGCAATATGTGTGTGTGTATATTGCATTCATGTGTACATATATAAAATAAGGGAATTTGGAGAATACATATAAGTGCAAAAGATGAAAATTAAAAAGTCCATAATCCCCTAACCCATAATCATTGAAAAAGATATTCTTCACTTGCTATAACATAAAAATATACCATTCTTGATGAGAAAAAAATTCAGATAAGCGTTTCAAGTTTTACACCACCAAAATATCATCATCATCATCAACTACCACCTCAGCAACACAAACATACCTCTTCTGTAAAAACATAAAGCCACATGACATGGCCATATCAGAGTTCAAGCTTAATTCAAAGTTTTTCCATGAAGATACTGAATCTGAAACTTAGCAAGACAAAAAAGGTTATAAATTTGGATGAGAAGCATTTCTTCACCGTTTCATATTGCTATGTCTGGAGAAATAGGGGAGCGAAGGGGTAAACAGGTAAAGAACCAGGTTCAGAATTTTTTCTTCTGTTTTTATGTTATTTATTTATTTTTTGAGATGGAGTCTCGCTCTGTCGCTCAGGCTGGAGTGCAGTGGCGCAATCTCAAGCTCACTGCAAGCTCCACCTCCCAGGTTCACACCATTGTCCCGCCTCAGCCTCCTGAGTACTGGGACTATAGGCTCCTGCCACCATGCCTAGCTAATTTTTTGTATTTTTAGTAGAGACGGGGTTTCACCGTGTTAGCCAGGATGGTCTCGATCTCCTGATCTCATGATCCGCCCACCTCGGCCTCTCAAAGTGCTGGGATTACAGGCATGAGCCACCGCACCCGGCCCCAGGTTCAGAATTTTTAAATGACTATCATATAACTAAAAAAGGAGACATCAGCTTAGGCTACTTCTACTTTCTTTATTATACTAATATTCATCACTTTACAAATTACAAAAAAACCTTTTAATGCTTCCTAGTCAGTGAATGCTTGCTTAAAAAGTGGTATAATGATTTCTGTGATTCTAAGATTATTTCATTTAGTAATAATAACTTCCATTCAAATACATTTGAAGGCATTATTAGAAAAATAATTCCATGATTACAAGGTCAGACATTCTTTACCTCTAATCACACTCACCAGATAGTTCTCATTAGGTTATAGCACTAAAGATACTGATTGTAAAATGCTGTGAAGTATTATAGTAACAGACTCTAGAAGATGCAGATGTAGTTTTTCAAATTGCACAGGACTGCTATATAGTTCACTTTTTCATTGGTTTTCTAGAAAATTTAATGTGAACATGGGGAAATGCTTCCAAGTAAATCCCCACGTTGATAATATTAAGGAAAGTTCTTTTCGATTCACGCTCTATTTTTCAGGGTATCAAATTGCTTTGTAGATTATTTTTAACAACATTACTCAAAATGGGACCAGTAGCAAGATCTAGTTTCCTCTCATTTCAGTCTGTCTAAATATCTGAAAGTTTGCTTTCATATATAATTAATTCTAACTGTAAACCCTTTACCACATTTTTATTTTACAGATAAGTAACCTAAAAATCATCATTTGTTCAGGTCACAAAAAAACTTATATGGAATTAGGATTAGAACTCTTAGTCATCGATTTTCAGTCTACTGTTTTCTGAGTACAATGTCACACAATTAATACGTGTTTCCAGTCAATGACAGATTTTTGATTCAAGCAGATAATCGATCGATCAAAAAACAAGATGTTTTGATCACATGTCTAGCCAAACACTGTTAGGCCTCCTAGAAGAAAAAAGCAACAGATTGCCCCCCTTACAAGTGTTTTAAAAAAACAAGAATTACATATTTGAAACATTTAGAGACTATGAAGCAAGGATTGTTTAAACACTCAATTACATTTTTCTAGCTGCATTACAAAATTTTTAAAAAGGAAAAAATCAATGTGATGTGGAAAAGTCATAAAGGGCTCTTCGAAGAAGCACAATACATTCACAAAAGAGGACACACTTCAGGGAATTGTCCTGTGCACAGAGCCACATACTTCATTTGAGCATCACTATAGATCAATACAGATGAATCTAAAACAGAAACATAAGCCCACCAACAAACATAAGAAAATGCCTTGTACTGTTATCGCAACCTTCTCTCTTGGGGCATCGAACGACTTACTCAGAATGTCACCCCACCTCCAGACTCTATCTTCCTTTGTACCTCACATAAATTCACCTTTTAGATGAGACTATTCGTTTTCCAAGATAAGTTAACACTTGCTGAAAGCCTTTGTGTCCAAACTCCTGCCCCTTCATTTCTGATGGGAGCTGAAGCCTGGAATGAAGTCAGAATGGCAAACCCAATAGTGAGCACCTAGTTTAGGCCCAGGCATTTTTACGGCCATCAGATCAAGGAAGCTGATGCTAAGGTGACCCAGATGGTCCATACCAGTGAAGGGGCAGTGGTCCCCGCACCACATCATGTTGTCCTTTTCCTGTGCTTCAGCAGCTCCATTTCCTATGTACTAAGAGACTGTTACATTCTGTATTCCACCACTACCCTCCTCTCAGGTGACTTTACCTGGCCCATGCCAGTTCCTTGAAGTTCGATCTGGTACCAAAATTGTCTCTTGGTAGAGGTCTTGCCACCTGCGTGAGTGTTGGGCCATCATTTGGATATTCTCCCTGCCTGCTCCAGTATCTTGGTACAGACAGCTTTTGGAATTGGGATCCCAGGAAGTTTTGCCCTACAAAGCCTGTGCCTAAACTGCCTGCTGGTTATATCTAGGCTCTGTGGCCACATCATTTTCCTTCATTCCTCTCCCTGCCTCACTGAGCAGGTTTCTGTGCTTGAGGGCTCACATCCGCATCTGCTTGACTCACCTAAGTCAGTCATGTACTCTTGGTTCATGAGCCCAGCGTGGCATCCCTCAGGAAGTTATTGTCCTGAAATACTGAATTACACCTTAGTTTATGTCACATTCCAAGCGCTCTCATCTCATACATACTTTAGGTGTATCACAAGTAACTGAAACATAGGTTGGTTCTTAGTCCCAATGGAGTGGATAGAAAAAAACAGCAAAAACAAACAAACAAAAAAAACCCTGCTTTGTCAAGAATAAATTTATAACAATAAATTAATAGAAATGATACTCCTAAAAAAATAAAAAAGAAACTGATACTCCTGACATTCTGTGCCCAGCAAATGATCTAGCTAATTAGATGTCTGATTTCCTGGAGAATTTACTCTTGGAGCCATTATTCCTAAATGATATCTTTCCTTTAGCCGGCTAGCTTTCAAAAATGGAATGGTGACCAATACAGCCTATTTGGGTCTGTGTTTGAGGGTAGAATCTCCTAGCAGTTTTCTTCAGGTGTTTGGCAGATTTTCAGAGATTAACAACTTTCAGGGATAATAATCATTTTTTTTTCAGCCCTCCAGATGGCTGGATCAGTTCTGCATACTTTAATGTCCATCTTAGAGGGCCTAAAATGCCAACTTTAAACTGATCTTAATAGACCAGTCCTCTCACACTTTTGTACAGTGTACTATTGCTTTTTGAAATACATACATATGGCTTTACCATGCATTGTTGGGTATTGAACAATTGTATGGCATCCAGAATAGGCCTTGTGACAATGGAAAATATATCCACCAGCTAATATAAAATTTGAGCAATTCTACTGTACCAGTAAATATAGCACCTGTGGCAAGATAATTCACTCAGACATAAAATTGTCTTCATATATTTTGTCCCCACCCTCAAATTCCAAGAAGACAGCCTCTTTTTGCTTCCTTGCCTCTGGGCAAGTTTGTGATACTGAGCAGCAAGGAGAAATTGCTATTAATATGCCAGATAATAGAGGGAAGGTTCTATAGGACAAGAAATGGACAACAATTCTAGGGGCCCCACATCTATTAGAAGCCTGCATCCGAGTTTGATAGTTTCTCGTAACAAAGCAGAACTATCTAATTTAAATTGTCAGGTTGTGACATCAATATCCATATTGCAGCAAGAGATGTTTGTTTTTAGGTAGAGCACATGAGGTAAATGTATGATAGAAAACCTCTTACATTAATATTGATACAATCGCATCTCAAAAAGAGTTGTGTCCTTTACAGGTTTACATTAACATTCACACAAACAATTCTATTTGCTGTGGAATATCTTGCCATTTGCAGATGTTGACAAATGTGTCTCTTGGCTCCTTGTAAACACTAAGCATTAAATAAATGTTAAATTCAACATATTACCATGATAGGAATTACACATGTGTCTGAAAGAAAAATCATATCTGTGTATACTCTTCAGACATGATAAAACCAATTTTTTTAAAAGAATAGTATCTTCTAAACCATTTTCTTTCTAAATAAACTCCATTGAGTTCTTTTTAGATTTAAATTACTTTCTAACTTCATTACTCGTCTTGCATACACTCCCCAAAATCTGCTAATTCAAAAGATGCACTCAAGCATCGCTTTGTGTCTCAAGGATCAGGAAATCTTATAAGAAACAATAAGTGGCTTTGTCAGGTACTGAATGAGGAAGAAATTTCTGCAGTAAAGAATAAACTGTGTTCAATTTTAACATGTAAGAGAACATTTCCTTAACTTGCACAGGATTTAAAATTCCAATCACAAGAATGAAGGTCTTTAAAAATGAAGATGTCTTTGTTAGAAGACAACCAGTATCCTACAAGGAAGTAATGCTGGTAGCAACCGATCTTTAAATCCAACAGAAATCCAAACCAAAATAAACAGACAAAAAGAGTCCCCTACTTCTTTTTGTGTAGGCTCCATACAAAGGCTTTAACCCTCTCTTTCAGCCTCAGCACTATTGATATTTTGGGTTGGATAATTCTTTGTTGCTGTGGTCTATCCTGTGCATTGTAAGATGTTTAGCAGCATGTCTGGGCTCTATTCACTGGATGCCAGGAGCACCTCTCCCTACCCATCCCACCGCTACATACATTGTAACAGTCAATAGTCAAAAGTCTCCTGGAATGCAACATTCCCCCACCTCCTCCTGAGAACCACAGCTTTAACCTCATTCTCTTCCAGCTGGCTTTTCAATGGCATTTCTTTAATACAGCCATTTATTGAGCAAGAAGAATTTGACTTTTAATGTTTTCAAAAATAAAAAGTGCAAAGGCGGAACAATGTCTTTACATTGGTATATATAATTAAGCAACATGTCATATCCAGTGTCACAAATGTTATTTAGGTTTCTTACCATCTAGATAGACAGCAATTTTGTGATTAAAGCAATGTCTGTACTTTCAGGTCAGGCAACCTAAATTCAAATTACATTTTTAACATCTAGAAGCTGTGTAATTGTGAATTTATGTTACTTAAATTCCTGATACTTCTAATCATCATATTAAAAAGGCAGATAATATCTCTTCTTCATATTATTACAGGAATTAAATGGGATAACATCTCTAAAGGGCATGCCATATATTAGATAATCAACCAATTATCTTATTCCTATAACCATAAAAGAATACAAATATTATCCATTATATGTATTATGTATATTTTCTTCAACATAGCATATTTATGCCTCTAGCTTTTCAATAATTAAACTAGGACTATATCATTTGGACCATCCTGTATCTAAAAAGTGAAATTTAAATGTATTTCAGTTTGTCTTTATGACAGAACAGGAAAATAGGATAACCTAACTTTATCTCTTATTTTATCTTTTATCTATAAGAATCTGGCCTTATTTTTTAAATATAATGCTCAAGGGGGAAAACACACTTTGTTATTTAATTATTATTATTATTATTATTTTTCTTGAAACAGAGTCTCACTCTGTTGCCCAGGCTGGAGTGCAGTGGCGTGATCTCGGCTCACTGCAACCTCCACTTCCTGGATTCAAACAATTCTCCTGCCTCAGCCTCCCGTGTAGCTGGGACTACAGACACGTGCCACCACTCCTGGCTCATTTTTGTATATTTTAGTAGAGATGAGGTTTCACCATATTGGCCAGGCTGGTCTCAAATTCCTGACCTCATGATCCACCCGCCTTGTCCTCCCAAAGTGCTGGGATTACAGGTGTGAGTTGCCATGCCCGGCCCACTCATTTTTCTATTGACAAAACCTTTTTAACTGTACTAAAGAATTAATTGGACTACTATTTGTTACAAAACCATCTCAAAACCCATTCCTCCTAAGCAGTTGTGAAACCAATGAAATGTATATTGTTGATATTAACTAGAAACAGTGTATTATTTAATTACTCAGTATTATGCCCTAATAGAAGTCACAAAGTCATACTTCATTTTGTATACATTTTGCTTGAAGTTAAATCTGTTGAGGCATTCCTCGTGTGAGACATTCAAATAATGCATGATCCCTGTCCTCAAAGAGCTTACAGGTGTTACATATTAAGTCATGTGGAAAATCATGCTTTGCAATTCTTAATTTGCATTATAATTAAAGTCTAATAAGGATGATACATATTAATTGTCAGAAAATAATTAACCAGAGTAGGAACAATAAAGACCATTTAGTTATCTTTTTAAGGATGCATAATCTTCTTACTTTGCCAAAATATTGCATCCCTCCTTTTACTAGCCTTACATACCTAACAGGCTCCAGAATCTCCTTGGTCTCCTCTTCCCCAGTAGCTCATCAACCAAAAAAAATCATTCATCACCTCCAGGTGACTAACTTGGGAAAAATAATGAGTATAGTCCATCTCTTAGCCAGATGGAGATACTGCTAAATAATATCCAAGATATCAGGTTTCAGCGTAAATGTTGGCTCTGCAGAAAACTCTTCCCAGCTTTTGCCAATCAGACTAGTTGGTTCCTTCTACAGTAAGCCCTTTCCACTCTACAGTAAGCCCTTTTCACTCTACAGTTTTCCTGCATACACTTCCCATATAGAAAATATAATATCATGATGCTTTCATAAATTCATAACAGCCAATTTATGCGTCAACATTCCCAGGTTTAGAATTATGAACTTCTCATTTGTTTTGAAGTTTAGCCAGGCTGCTGACCTCATCTATTATAGCACGACTTTCCACAATTCTGGTTTAAGGAGCTATACTTGCCAATTGCATGTAGCTAACAAATAACTGAGAAATCAGGTCATTTGCGAATAAACCCAAACTCTAGCAAATAGCAAAATGACAGGCTACTCTTTTATGTACTATGCCTATCTAATTTGGAAATATCTTTTTTGTGCCATCTAAGATGAAATTTATATTGATTTCAGCTTGCCTCTAAGTTAATTACTTTTTTTTTTTTTTTTTTTAAGACGAAGTCTTGCTCTGTTGCCAGGCCAGAGTGCAGTGGCGCGATGTCGGCTCAATGCAACCTCCAACCCCAGGTTCAAGCGATTCTCCCGCTTCATTCAGCCTCTCGAGTAGCTGGGACTACAGGCGCCCGCCACCATGCCCGGCTAATTTTTGTATGTTTAGTAGAGACGGGATTTTACCGTGTTAGCCATGATGGTCTCGACCTCGTGATCTGCCCGCCTCAGCCTCCCAAAGTGCTGGGATTACAGGTGTGAGCCACCAAATTTCAGAAGAAAAATAAAAACTAATTCTACTGAAAATTCCTGTGTTTTCCTTGATTTTGAAGGCTTCTATCATTTCAAGTATAATCAAGTACCAGCAGCAAAACAAAATGTGCTTTCTTATTCAGGTGTGTTGTCAAGGACTTCATCTACGTTCTTAAATCATTCTCAGTTCAATAAACATTTTGAAGTGTAAATATGAGAAAGAACCCTAGGTGTTGGAGTGAAGAGTCGAATGAAGAAAACACATAACAGATAATTTTTTTTTTTTTTTTTTTTGGAGACGGAGTCTTGCTCTGTCGCCCAGGCTGGAGTGCAGTGGCGCGATCTTGGCTCACTGCAAGCTCCGCCTCCCAGGTTCACGCCATTCCCCTGCCTCAGCCTCCAGAGTAGCTGGGACTACAGGCATCCGCCACCACGCCCGGCTAATTTTTTTTTTGTATTTTTAGTAGAGATGGGGTTTCACCGTGTTAGCCAAGATGGTCTCGATCTCCTTTAATAACACAAGCCCAGTGTAAAGAAAAAAGGTATCTATAGCCCCACCTGGAGTTCAGTGAAGAATTCCTGGGGAAGATGAACATGGAGAAAGCCTTAAAAGATGAATAAGAATTTTTCAGAAAACGATAAGAAGGATTTTCAGAAATAACATGGTCAAAGCTGTTGAGCTGTAACTAAAAACAATTAGGAAAGCCTAAGTGTAAAGAGTGAGAATCCCATAACAGGGGTTGGTAAAGCCATTCCTGGACCTGATCATTAAAACATCAGAGTATTGGGATGTCCATGTATGTATCCTGGAGATATTTGAGAGATAATTTTTTTCAAGTAGGCCATGGGATGGCAAGATAGATCTCAACAAAGAAAAGAATGAAATGGCTATTCTTTAACAATTACACTGAGTTGATAATGTTGGATCATCCTGTATGACATTTTGGAGACCATCACATTGCATGCAATACAATGAAAATCTTGTAGTTATAATAGTTCACCTCAGTTCTTGCAATCAAACAGAGCAGCAAGTAGATGCTGCAATTATTTATTCATGTGAAAAACTATTATTCACTTCATTAGACCAATGCTTTCCTTGTTCTAAAATTTTCCTACAGTTTTGTTTTCTAGTCTTTGCTTCTTGTTTATAGAGAAACAATGTGCCTAATTTTCCTAGATAAATAAGACATTACAACAAAGAGATCTCTGGGCCCAGGGATATACACATGTACACTATCACATGCATGCATAGATACAAAGATTGAAACTTTGATTTGATTCTTCAACTATTAGCCCAGCTGTTATAACAGTACTTTTAAAAGTACTCAGGGGAATAGGTAAGCTTGATGTTGAATGCAAATCAGCTTACAGAAAAACATGATCACTTCGTATTATATTATAAAGTGATAACATAAAAAAGAGTCCTTAGGGAGATATTTAGTGTTTATTGATAGAGTTGATCTCATAGGAGGCTGTATACTTACTAAGGTAAGTGGAATACATTATTAGGAAAATTCTAAACCTGGTATTTTCATCAAAATTATGCAGAATAGAAAATATACATTTGAGTATAACTTAAGTACACATCATGTTAAAATTAGGCTGCATAAAGGAGCAAAATCCATATTCTGCTTAAATAATTCTCTACACAGACACTTTTGAAAGGTTGTATATATAGGTTTTTATAATAATTGTACTAACATTTAGTTAAAAATAAATACATGTACGTAATGCACAAAATTTTAAGTGACAACAGCAAGCCTTATTCAGATTCAGAATGCATCACAAGATTTTATTTAGGACTTGGGGTCAACTGTAACCTGTGTAGGTCTTTTTCACAAGTATATGCTTGAAACAAGGAAAACATCCAGTATTTATGAAATTAGATTAAATTAATTGAATAGTCAGTGGGAATATTATCCAAACAGATTAAAAAGCCTAAAATCATCTAGCTAAGAAGTTTCATTTACTCTCTTATGACTCAGTTTTTCATGGAACTGTTGGGTTGACATGAACATCATATAGGTCAGCAGTTTTTCAACTATGCTAATCATCAGAGACTACTTTTGAAGAAGAATTTCTAAATTCTTCACCACATTTTTACAACCATGTTATTACATATTTTTTAATGTCTCAATTTTACAGAGAAATAAAATAACATTTAAAAAAGTTAAGTACTCTGTTCGTAGTTACATGGATTGTAAGTGGAGAGAAGTCTACAACTCAATGATTCTAGCTATATATAATGAAAAGTGAATCTTAAACTTTCACATAATAAAGATATTGGTCATAATTTTATAAGTTATGAAATAATTATCAGATAATAGAGAAATGAGTCAGTTCCTTTAGTGAAGAGTGTAAGAAAGTATTAGAATTTGATCTAGGTCTGTTGTTAGAAATTGCGCCCTTAACTGCCTCACTATGTAAAAAATGTTGATATATACTGCTTTGGTGACATCAGCAAACTTTGGATCCGCACCTGAAAAACTGAAGGACAGAGCAACGAAAAACATAAGGCATTTAACTATGTGAGTGGAAACAAGCTCTAGGTGTTCCTGACCAATTAAAGCTGAAATTCTAACAAATTACTGATCTCTGATCTTCTTTACTCTTCTTACCTCATTCTTAGTCTTAATAAAGAACAAAGAAAAGCACCTAACATGTGGATTCCTGTAGATCTTTATTTCTCAATCTCCCTAGGAACAAATGCAAAGACACAATTTCTGAGGAGTAAGAAACAACTGAGAAATAGTTACTAGGTCATATTTTACATTAAATATTAACTTCAAAATATTTCAGAATTAGAGTAAGAAATATGGGAGGTTTCAAGGAGATATAAGATAAGGCTCTGATACTCAAATAATCATTTTTTCTATATGAGGAAATGAATCATAAGTTCATGCAACAACTAGAGAACAAATCTCTAATTCTCCAGTAGAGTGTTATAGGTCACAGTGCATTAGGAGAGATAAAAAGTATTGTAAATATTCACAAGAGGAGAAGATATCTGTATCTTAAAGCTGCATTGTTAATGGGTGTTACATGGCAGACTTGCATTATTTTTGTTTTGTTTTGTTTACAGCGGACTGAGATCATCTATAGCTCTGTTCAGACGCCACAGTGAAGTGTGAGAAAGACAAAAATCCAGTTGCATATATCAAATGCCTTGCCTGCCAGTTAAAATCAGGCCCTTAAAAGCACATAAACATTGATTTCTGTATTTTGGTTCCTTCCTTTTAGACAAGAAAAATCTGAAGAAAATGGATGATGCTAACAACAACCTTTAGTTTCTCTGGCTTTCCTCTTGATGTGCTCCATGAGATGCCCTAGGTAGTGTGGTGGAAATCAGGCTGCAGGTGTTCTCATCTTAACTGCTATAGCGGGCTCCCTTAGATAGTTTTGTAAGTCCCTATTCTTTAGTGTGCTTATAGACAAGGGAAATAATACAATCAATTTTCCTGTCGTAAATGTTGCTAGGACCATAGACTTCATATGAAAATTTGTTTATTTAAACATAGGTTAAACAGGTTTACCAAACTATACATATTTCTAAATCTTAGTGAAATAAGAATGTGAGATTCCCCTGCTATTTACAGGATTACTCCAAACTGTCTTTGAACATGTTAATAATAATAACAACAATTAACATTTGTTGAAGGTTATGTACTAGGTGCTGTTTCATTTGCTTTTCATATGTCACTTTATTTAATGCATGTAACAATCCTATGGGTTAGAGAGTGAGCATCTTGCTCAATGTCACACCGCTAGAAAGTAGTAGATCCTGGATGTGAAACTAGGTAGTGCGGCTTTGGAGCTTCTACACTTACACTATTAGGTTTACCCCAATTATCTTGGCAGCATGATTACAACAATAAACTGATTCTCCGTAACTGCAGAGGAGTCACATTTCTCTTGACCTGGAATGCAGGTGTATTTTTCTACTCTCATGTTTAGCCATGGTTGTCTTCCCCATAGATATATACACCAAATCAAACTTGAATTTCAGGATATTTGAGGAGGGGGTTCCATAGTTTTAAGTAAGCTTCAAAAATGCCCAGAGGAAATCATGCAGCTAAGATATGTACAACATTTATAACATTTAAGCAGATGAGAATTAGGGACTGTAAGACTTTAAAATTCATACTGGCAGGAAGCCTCAAGCAGTGATGATAAAAGAAAACAAAATGATGCAAATTTAAGTGGATTAAATAGAGAGAAAAATCAGTGGGGGAGAAAATCTTTAATCAAGCCAAAGTGCTGAAGACAATAGAGGTTGATGATTTGGAAATGGTTAATAGTTTTATATCTACTGAGATCAGCCCTATTCAGGTGATGTTTTTCAGTTCTATCTAGTTCTTGATAATTTACTCTGGTAAGCCAAGAATATGTAGACTTGTAGGACTGAAATGAACTCTACATGTGGAAAGAATTTTACATAAATAGGCTAAACATATGAGAGCTAGAAAGAAATTTAGATATCATCTTACCCCATCAAGAAAAAAAACTGAAACCAAAAGAGGTTAATTAAGCTTACTTGAGGTCACTCTGAAGTTGATTAATGTGAGTTTGAATAAAATAGTTATGAAGTGGTAGAGTCTAGAGTGAAATACAAAAATCTAACATCTAGTGCCCCACAAAGGAAAGAATTACAGAAAAAAAGTTTTTAATATTTCCTTTACATCCTTTTAAAAATCAACAGGAAGGAGGTTATAAAAGATGGGAAATCATAAGAATCACTAAAATACTTTTATAGAAAATTGTTCCTTATATATTTTCTAAACCTCTGATGATCTCTGCTGGTTCTCATTAGATTTAGAGATAAAACCAAGCACAGAAATGTGTTCTCAATTTCTCACACTCTGGGTGAGACATAAATAATAAAATATGGGCAATTAGAATTTTAAGTTTTTAAATGCCACTTCAACCCCTGACAAAAAAACGCCGAAATATTTTCTCAGGCATTGATTGACAGTGCATTGGATGCACTTGGTGCTGTGTATGATAGGAAAACAAAATAGAAAGCAATTATTTTTATCTTTAGGAAGCCTATAACTTACTTGAGGTGAAAGGGCATATGGCATACTAACATGGAGAACATTAAACTATGTAAAAAGCAAAAGGTAATGAAACTTAAGGTTAGCAAAGTACATAAGTGTTGGCAAAACTAAAAGGCAAAGATGAGAATAGTGTTAGGTGAAAAGAAGTAAGACGCCCTGAGTTTGCAGGTGAGATTGTTGACTGAAGCCGAAAGTCCCAGGTAAGAATAAGTGAAGATCTGCATATGATGCGGGAAAGAGTCAGAGGATGAATGTGCAGAAGATTTCATAGACCAGGTAGAAAAGGTGGACTTCAATGCACATGATAAAGAGGACTACCGAAGGTAAACAACACGATGTGTATGTTGTTTGTAGATGGTAGCAACCTGACATTAAATACATTACTGAAATGAGGCAAAGTGTGGAAGACTATGGAGCTGGGGGGAAAAAAAAAATAATGCTTTGACCAGGTGCTCCTCAGTAAGAGAGAAGGTAACTGGCTTGCAGTCAGTAATTTAGAATTTGATAATATTTTATTCCACACATTCAGCCAATGTGTACAAAAATGTATGTATTATTTTCAGATTCCCTGGTCTTTGATGGAAAATCAATGTTTAGAGACTCTGTCTGTATGAAATTCAGTTTTCTTATTATGCAACAAAGGTAGTCCTATTAATAATTTGTATTTTTCTCAAATCTCATCTCTTTTACTGAAACATTCATATTTTTGATATAAACATATAAATATGTGTATTGACTAGGATCTATAATTAAAAGAAGATTCTTGCCATCATATGTTACTCTTTCCAGTTCTGACATAGTGTTTTCATGTGCCTGCTGTAATGATTTTCTTAATTTATAGCCATAGGTTAGTTCTTTGGTCTGGTGGTATATAGCTTCACTGGTTTATGGGACATAAAGCTTCCTTAGATCTTACAATGCTTTACTTAGGTCTCACTTAAAATCAATTTAATGTTTATTTCACATTCAATTTTTTAGCCTTTTTACTTTGAGTTTTGGTTACATGGACTATGTAAATAATCATAGTAATGTGCTATACTAATGTCCAATTCAAAAATGTACTTAAAATGTAATACATTATTAAGTTGTTATGACAGATTTAAAGGGGTGTGCAATTGGAAAAACTTAAAAATGTTTATCTGATAATAGAATGGTTCACAGCTATGATTTATATATAGCTTCCTATGGGCCCAGCATAGCATACTGTTATCTCATTTGGTTCTTCAAATAACTCCATGGGATTGATATTGTATTTTAAAATGTTTCATAGTTAAATGCACTGAACGATTATAAAAGTTCAGCATGTACTGACATGTGCAGGCAATATGCTCAGCACTTTATGAGTGTCCTATGACTTAATCTTCATTAAAACCTGACATGGGCTGTATCTTTATCTTGGTTTCACTGAGGTGAAGAAAAGTAAAGTAATTTGTTTAGTTAATAAGTGGCAGTTCCTGGCTCAGAGAAGTTAAGTGTCTTTCTGAATATACAACAAAGGTTAGGTTTTAGAAGATGTCTGCTGACTTGCAAGCCTTGCTGTTAAACACGACACCTATTATCATCTCATCTGACTTATGCCTCTAGATGGACAATTTTCTCACTACCCAGAATATGGTAAAGCTTCATTACTAATTTAGATAAGAGGTGTTATAAGTTCCTATGACCATTATCCTATTATACCAAAATGACTGCAGTCAGAAAGTTTACTCCCCACCGCCAACCCACATGTCAACTTTTTGCAGCTAGAATTTAATATTCTTTAGCAGTTTTCATTCATATTGGAGATAATCTGACTTCTTTTTCTGTCAATTGACCAAAACTTTGACTTCAGTTAAAGAATCTAAAATAGGTTATGTACAGAAGAGCTGAAGGCAAAAGTAACATTTTCATAAATGCCTCAAAACAGGATTACTAAAACACTCTTCTAAAACATGACATCCTTTTAACTTATCCATTCGACAAACATTCTGCAAGTATTTACAAAGCATATATTAAATGCTAGTTAGTATTGAATATGAAACACATAAACATGATTGCTGAACTTAAGAAAATTAATATTAAGGTTTGGGGGAAAACAAGGATACTGGTGTGTACATATGCAACTATTCATAATGGAGTATGTACATGTACTATAGCAAACTGGCTAAGAGAGATGACTCTGGAAGTGAATCCTTGAGTTTGAATGATTGGTCTGCCACTTAGTACTAACACTGGGCAACTTACATAAACTGTATATTTCAGAATCTTCATCCATAAAATGAGGATAAGAGTATTTACTGCACAAGGTGATATTGAGAATTAGCCAAGATAACGCTAGTGCCTGACAGTCAGTCACTAGATAATATGTTTTGCTTATTTTCATGGAATATGCTAATTGTGTATGAATAAAATCCAGACAAATGAACAATCCCTTCTTTCTAAGGGAGAGAGGTAGGCACCCGGGTTCAGGGAACTCTTTGCAGAGTTTGCCTGCAATAGTCTTGTGCTTTGATTTGGTTGTATAGAGAAGGAAGCAGAAATGAATTATACAAAGAGAAAGTCACATAAACACAGACATAGTAAAGTGAAAATGTATGCTCTACTGGTGAAGTATTGGTGTTTCAATATGGCAGATCATAGGGTTCTAGGTTAAAATAGCAAGGTTTACAAAATCAAAGCAGTGGTAAGAGACAGATTATAGAAATGCTGAACAAACCAAAAGAAAGAAGAGAACAATAGCTGCCAGCAGGAATTCTCAGATGTCAACTTAGCAACTAGATGCTAAACAACTTTAGAAGAAAGACCATGACTTTCAGGCCGAATCACGGTACTCACACTAATGTGCCTGGTAGAATTATGGCTTGTTCAAATTAAATGCTCAATAAATGCCTGCTTAATAGAACTATCCAGCAAAACAAGAAAACCACACCATCTAACTTGTTATATAGCTTGTTATATACGGAATATACTCTGTAAGCAAGAGTGTCTCTCCCCTCAAGTTGTCAATGGTGATTGACTTTATCTTAGATCCAATGAAAATTTTATATATTAGTTAACTTCAACCATGTTGGCCATGTTTTGCACAACATTTCTGGAGGAAGCAGAGGATATTATTTAAAAGGATAAAGTATTTGCAAAAAGGAACTGTAGGTAATATCTACAACACTTCCCACTATTGTGCTAAGATAAGTCATGTGAAAATATAGTTTTCTATGCCAACATATAAAATAGACAAATAATGTATTCAGGCACTTATATATGAATTTGTAAACCTAAGTGTATAATACATGAGAGTTCAGAATTTATTTTAGCACACAAATCCTACTAGATGCTTTTGTAAAACAAAACAATGTTGATAAATAATGTACCATATGCAAATCAACTCAACATCTTGTGTAATCAATCAGTACATCAAATATGGTTTTCTTTCTATAGACTCTGCTTAAATCATTAAATCCAGTGAGTATTTTCTGGATTTAAGTTTTGACCAGGTTCCATTACTTGCCACAGAAAGCAACAGTACTAGAGATTACTGTCTTCAGCAGGTAAAAACTAAATAATTCTTTTAGGAACAATGAAAAACTTTTCAGTAAGTAAGCTGGCAAGTGGTTAACAAGTGACTGATAAAGACACCTCTAAGATAAATGTCAATTTTGTATTTCTCCACATTGAGCTCCTTGCCAGTGGTTTATTTTTTATTTTATTTTTGAGACATGGTCTCACTCTGTTGGTTGGGCTGGAGTGCAGTGGCATGATTGAGCCCAAACTTCTGGGCTCAAATTATCCTTTTGTCTCAGCCTCCCGAGTAGCTGGGATACAGGCATACACCACCACATCTGGCTAATTTTATTATTATTATTTTGTAGAGATGGAATCTTACTGTGTTACCCAGGCTGGTCTGAAACTCCTGGCATCAAGTGAGCTAATGTTTTAAATTACCATTTTTTGTAGCAAGGGCATTTGAAGACTGTCTACTGCAAACATTTTTGTGCCATACAGATCTTTGGCAACTTTATGTTACTCAGCTGCTTTGTTACAACTACTGTTAAGGTTGTGAGACTCTAACGTGCACTGCTTATTCTGAAAGAAATCCTAAAAGCAAAAATGCGAATGCAACGTAGTATTAACACTCTCTAATAGTTGTAGTAAATCCTTAAGCTACACATTTTTGGATTCCACTGTGATACAACAATTGAGTATATTCCACTATAATAAAATTTTCGGAATGTTAACTGGCATTGTCAGCTGTGTATGTTATCAGAGTATAGCTAACACATTTTCCCCCAAAGGAAGTATGCCAACTATCCATGTCTACCGCTGCTAATAAGGCATGCTAATTTAAGACATTCAAGGCAAATTCAGTATACAACATGTTTATGTGGTACTTTTTCCCTACTATTACATACGCAATTGAATTTTCTCCTTTTTAATAGACTATTTTTAAGGCAGTTTTAGATTAACAGCAAAACTGAACAAAAACCAGAGTTCCCAATAGCCACAGATACACCCTCTACACACATGTATATCTACCATTATATGGTCATACCAACTTGCTATAATCATTAATTAGTTCCAGGAAGTTTTTTGTCAATTCTTTTAGATTTTCTACACAGACAATTATGTCATCTGTGAAGTTTCATTTCTTCCTTTCCAATGTATATACATTTTTTTTCCCTTTTCTTCTCTTACTGAATAAGCTAGGACTTCCAGTACTGTATTGAAAAGAGATGGTGAGAGAGGACATCCTTGCCTTTTTTCTGATATTAGTGAAAAAGCTTCTCGTTTCTCAACATTAAGTATGTTGTTAGCTGTAGGATTTTTGTAAATGTCTTTTATCAAGTTGAGGAAGTTCCCCTCAATTCCTACTTTGCTGAGAGTTTTATTATGGATGTGTGTTAGATTTTGTCAAATACTTTTCATGTATCTATTTATATGATCAAATGATATTTCTTCATTTAATCTGTTGATATAAAGGTTTACATTAATTGATTTTTACATGTTGAACCAGCATTGCATAACTGAGATAAATCCTATTTAGTTGTGCCATCTACATTTTTAAAATATATTATTGGATTCAATTTGCTAATATTTTGTAGAGGATTTTTGTATCTATGTTCAAGGGAGATATTAGCCTATGGTTTCTTTTCTCATATGTCTTGGTCTGGTTTTGGTTTTAAGATAATGCTGTTCTGAAAGAATGACTTGAGAAGTATTCTCTCTGCTTCTACCTTCTGGAAGACATCATAGAGAGTTAGTGTAATTTCTTCCTTAAATGTTTTGTAGAAACCACCCATCATGGCCTGGTGCTTTCTGTTTTGAAAGGTTATTAATTATTGATTAATATAAGACTATTTTTCATTGTCTATTTCTTCTTGTGTGAGTTTTGTCAGATTGTGTCTTTCATGCATTTGGCTCATTTCATCATAATTATCAAATTTCTGAGTAGAGAATTGTTCACAGTATTACTTTATTATCCTTTTAATGTCCATGAGATCTATAGTGATGCCCAGCAATTGTGTTTTAACTAGACTTCTTAAATTTATTTTGAGTTTAAACTGTGTTACACACTTGGTAATAGTTACTGTCTACAAACAACAAGCAAGAAAAATGCCTACAATATTCACATGAGGCAAAACAAAAAGAGGAGACAAATATCAATACCAAAAGGAATACTGCTTACAATACAATTTTACGTCATTGGGCTTTCACCAGCAACTTACAATCATACCTGATATTACTGGTTTCTCAAAAAAATCAGAGAGCCAGTCCATGAATATAGATTCAGAAAATGTCAACTGAACCTTTACTGAAATTTATATAGTTTGTCAAACTCCAAAGTTTACTAACCAGTCATATTTCAAACACAAAAGCTCAATCATCCTCATAATCATTTCATTATAAAAGGTTTATATGAGTTGGGAGCTGGAGAGGGGTAAGGCAACACTTGGAGCAGATGTGAAGATACCTATGATAATGAATTATTGAAACTATGTTGAGCCTTTGGAGAATGAAAATTTCTTTAAATCTGAAGTAGTGATTTGATCAATATAACACTAGTGACCTATAATAATGCAAATCCTTCTTTTATATGAAAACTGAGGGATCTGAAAGTTATTTTACCTTTAAAAAGCAAGGATACTGATACTGTTTAGTATGAAAGCCCATTACCTAGTAGGGAAAATATTATGCCTTTTGTTTTGTACTTACATCTAAGAAAAAAATTAAGTAGAAGATATGGGAGGTAGAAGAGATTTCTAAAATTACTGTTTTCCTCCATTTAAGTAAATATAGATTTACCAAGCCGTCATAATCTCATTCACAACTACAATTTATTACCCATTGATGCCAGACACATTGCAGAGCTCTTCACATATAAGATCTCCAGGAGGGCAGGAATACTTGCTTATTCACTTATGTATCAGAAGCATCTAAAATAGTGTCAGGCACATAATTGTCCCTTGGTACATATTTCTGCATGAACAAATATTTATTGCATTTAGTCCTCTTAAAACCACATAAAGTATTACTATCCCCAGTGTACACATGAAGAAACAGGGGCCAAGAAAAGTGTTCCACTCACCAAGACCACCAAGACAGGCATCTCCAGATTTGGGATTTGAGCCGAAGTCTAACTTTGACAAACACAAAGGGCCACTGCCTACCTATCCTCCAACTTTTCTGCCCCTCAACCCAGTTCTGAAATACATAGATACTCTGCAAGTATATATACTGTTATATTATTTGCTACAGTGGTTCTTGACTGGCCATTCAGTGTATTTTTTAATGCCAAATTCAGGGTTATTTCATTTTTTAAGCCAAAATTATAGTTCTCAACATTCTTTCAGAAATAAACCACTGAAAAATTTATGGTATTTCAATTCAGTAGTTGCATTAAAATATCTCCATTGCCACATAAATGTGAATTCCAACTGATGAGCATAAAATAATTTGCTGAGATGTAATCAAAATCTATTTTAAAAAGACAAAACCTTTTCCTGAGTTTGCTTTCACATCATTAAGGATGACACTATGTCACTTTCTCCCTACAAAATACACTATTTACAGCATTTGTTATTCACTTATAAAATGCATGCAGAAGTTGACTTCTAAGATCCTGGTATGAATCTCCTTTTAACAAATTTTAAGCTCTTTGAGTAAATATCATTACAGCATTTACCTGCTGTGCACTACTTTTCAGCAGAAAATGCTCTTTGGGTTTCTCAGCAAGATTAGCAAATTTTTAAGCATAGAGATTTTTTTTTTCTTTTTCTATGAGGACGGGAAAAGATCTTCATAAATCCTGCTATGTTCTCTTCAAATAAGCTTTCATCTTTACCCAAAAAGATTCTTGAGTGATTAAAGCACAATGATCTTGACTTCAGTTCTAGACATGCCAATTCATATGCATTTGATCTCTAAGACTTGTTTTCTACAAGTAGATGGAGCGTGTTTTCCCTTTTTTCCCGGACTTTCCTGGATAAAGTGAGGTAGCACATGGGAAAGCACTTTGGAAAAGTATCAGGCTCTACAGAAATATAAGATTAGTGCTACACAAAAAAATTTCAATTCCTGTGTTGATAAACAACAGAGATACAATCTGAGAAATACATGGTTAGGTGATTTCATTCTCATGTGAACATACATGAACATACAAGGTGTACTTACATGAACCTAGATGGTATAATCTACTATACGTCTAGGCCATGTTCTGTAGCCTATTGCTCCTAAGCTACAAACCTGTATGGCAATTGTCACACAATGGCAAGCCATATCTAAACACAGAAAAAGTACAATAAAATTACAGTATTATAATCTTAGGGGACCACCATTATATCTGCAGTCCATCATTGACCGAAAAATCGTTATGTGGTAGATGGCAATACATGAGAATAAACTGTTCTGGCCTGAGATACAAGAGATATAATGTCCTAAACTTAGGGAATTCATTTCCATAATCCACTCCAATCTGTTCCTTATTTTCCCTCTCTTGTATGGGGAAATGCTCACCAAGTTACTCAAGCTAGAAATCTGGGATAATCTAAAATCACTACCTCCCCTTCACCCTAGATATAACTATGCTACCTAGCTAGCAAGTCTCTACCTTCTGTTATAGCTTTATTGGTACCTGTTTCTCTTACAATCAAGATCAAAACCCTTGTTATATATTGTGAGTCATTTTTAATCTGTCCCCTCTTTAGTTTCCTGCTTTTCATCCTGGGATCTATCCATGCTGGAATTTGCAATTCCATGAAAAAATCATGCTCTCTGTAACCATAGTGTCTTTAAAAAAGGCCAGTACACAAATGAAAATTGCAGGGACCTAGTATTGTTGCAGTTCCTCTTAGACTGAAAGACACATGTGAGAAAGCATTTGTGTCTTTTTTGCATGTACTTTAACTGTACAGACCAAGACCAATTGCTACAGATAATTGAGAACTGGTTCTAATCTGAATTTCACATAGAACAGGAAGGAGTCAAAGACTTTGAAAACATTAATAGGTTGATTTGAAATTTATGTATAGGTGGATCAACTAAAATTTTTATAAAGAAGTAGTAAAAGAGTATATATTGATGAAACAGCCATTGCTAAATATAAATTTTATATTATAAAAAATTAGAAAAATTTAGAACACAGAGAAAACTAAAACAGCCATTATTATCCTGCAACAAAAGAAAAACAATTGCCATATAATACTTACTGATACTTTTTTATGTTTAAAAAAGTAATGATGACAATAATAACAATGACAAAGGTCAGCTAACATTAATTAGGCATTATTGTGTATCAGGCACTCTATTAGATGTTATGCATGGATTTAGTTTTATTCTTGAAATGGGCCTATAAATTAATCCTGTAAATATCCCATTTTACAGATGAGTATACTAATCTTCAGTGATGTTAAGTCCAAAGTTTCACAGCTAGTAATAAAAAAATCTGAATTTTATTTGAATTATAATTTAAAATTATTCAAAAGTATAAATATTTTGTATACAAACATATAGTTCCTTTGGTATACGTATAAAGTCTCATAAAAAGGCATATGAGGATGTGAATTTACAAGAAATCAAAATAAAAAGCAGTCTATGTTTTCTAGATTTTTAAATATTGAAAAGAGCTGTCTTTTAGATATAATAGTTGTTACGTATGAAAGGCATAATGATCACCTATTAAAATAATAGATGCTAAATATTAATCCTAGGTAATATCACTTGCCTAAATACCTACTACACTGCTTGTTAATATGGACTGTATAAATTGTATATTTGGTGCGTTTGATTTTCTGTGTGTGTAAATTTCTCAATTCCCAATGCAAATGGATTGATTTCTATTTTGTAAAATCCTATTTGGATACAAATATCATACAGAAAATCTAATAAAAAGGATGACTTATAGAAAGAATTCATTTGACATTTAGTTTCTAAAAATTTGTGACACTGATCCTTTAAACTCAGAACTCTATTAAAGATCTTTTTTTTTTATATTGGCCATGTGTCATAAACAAACATTTGAAGCAGGCATATAAATTATTCTATTGTTCTAAATGTTTTTTTAAAAATTTTAAGTCTACATTTCTATTTCTCAATGAATGAATAATAAATGGAGTCCATAGGGAAAACAAAACAATCAAAAGACCATGGGTTCATCAATTTAAATAGTATTGAAGTACATATTAGGAACCAATTCTCATATCTTTTGCATAAATTTCTCACATGCCTGTCTACACTTGAATGACTTCAGAATTAAAGAAAATTGCATTAATATTAAGCCTAATTAATATTAAGCTTACATTAAGAGCCTATAGCATTAAGCAATTGGATAAAAAAGGACGTAGTAAATAACTCATATAACACTTTGATTTTCATTGATGTTTAGCATAAGAATACAGTGGAAAGACTACTAACATCAGATGCAGTCCTTGCCAATAATTTATAGTCCAAAACTCAGCTCAGGTCTCCCTTCCCTTCCTGTTGCCCACCACCATGCTATGGTTTCCATCATGCCACCCATGCGCCAAGTTTCTAGGCTTGGGTTATTTACCTGTTTCTTTCAGTTCCTAAAATACCCTTCCCATCACATTATTCACTATCTGTATTGGCTTTATTTCTCTCTCTACCTTAAGGGCAGGGGTGGATTGAATTTACTCCTTTGTTCTATTGAATACCTGCAATCTTAATAAAGCTCAGCAAGACACTGAAGAGGATAGACTTTTAATTTAATGATTGTTGCTAAGAATATTTAACATAATATGTAATTGTATGTGATCCAACTCACAAACTTAATACTTTTGGCCTCTTTTTCTCCATCTTGTAATAAGACATGTTTTAACTGGATTGCCTAAAGTAAATTCTGGCACTAATAAGTCTATGGTGTATTGCAAATTGGCCTTGAAAAGTCAGAATTTTGATTCCCAATATTTTCAATAAGCACTATAGTATATTTTAATATTTACTCTATTTCATGACTCTGCTAGAAAATTCAACTAAACTTTAATATCCTTTACTGAAAGTAATAAGCAAGTGTTTTTCTCCTCTTAACATTCTTTTGCAAAATGTATCTGGTAGAGAAAACAGCATTTATGAGTAATTACCAAGCATTATACATAAGAACTTTATTTAGACATTCTAAAGATAATACCATTCAATTCTAGTAAAGAGGAGAAACAGAATATGTTATGTAAAAATGAATGCAAATTTTATGTAAAACCTAAGTGAATGAAACATAAAAATTCTGGTAAACTAGTAATATAACCTTATTTCAAAATGTCTTATTTGATTTCAACAATCACACACAAATAAAATTGGTCTCATTACTAAACAGAAATACCATGTTTTATATTTTCTGCAGTTTGACAAACATTAATAGATTGATTTGAAATTTATGCATATGAATAACTAAAATTAGGATTAACTAAAATAAGAACTAAAACTCCTCAGTCATCAAGAATTCCTGTGGCAGACAAAAATCTTTAAAAGTTCCAAGTAAAAACTGCATAGAGGAAAGTCAATATGCAATATAAATCTTTTAATATAGGATTAAACGACTCTTTTTTAAGACTAGGAACTTTATTTTTATGTTATCTATACCTTCATATGCCAATGAATAAATAAATGTTTGAAACTAACTGCCCTGAAATCAATTTTTATTACTATGGTGGGATTTATACCTATGCAGGCGAGTTAGTTTATCATCAATAATTTAGTCTACAAGGACTCCTGATTTCTCTGAAGTTTCTGGTAATATGACATGGTATTAGATAAAGTGTTAGAAATTTGTAACACCAGGATGTTTGTTTCAAACATATTTTTCCCATTTATAGAAATACAGGAAAGAAGGAAGAGGATATAAAAGGCCTTCTATAAAGATCTTGGAGGGGGGGAGTGTTTTTGCTAGTAGTCGTGTGTGTTTGTGTGCAGAGCTAGATTCAATCAGGGAGGGCCATAAAGTTAAAGTGCTAATTATCCTCAGTTTATTTTCTTCCTTTTCCTTTTCCTTTTAATTGGGAAATGTAGTTGGTACAATGTTTTTTGGTCTAATATAAACTCAAGGGATTATTACAAACAACATTAGCAACAGTCTATATGTATATTATATATAAAATGGAAAATTGATAAAAAATATTTAAGACACACAAGCAAGAATTAGTAAAATGAAACTGTGAGACCTGTGACATTCAAATCTTTAAAAATATCTCTGACAATCAAAATGATTTAAGTAAGAAAACAATGAAAACTGTAACTCACGTATATTGAGACTGATAGATCCAGAAGAAACTGCAAGAGGCTAACTCAATTCTAACATTCTAGCTTCTAGGAACAAGACAGCCTTTTGTCTAAGATCTTGAATAACTGAGCAAATACCTCTGGCAAATTGTACTGTATCTTCCCCTTACAGAAGTAGAGTCCCAAGGAGAGATGGGAAAATATATTAGCCTAGGTAAACTCAGACAAGACGCCCAGTGTAGGAAACCACCCTGGAAGCCTGATTCTCAGGGCTGCTGAGCGAGACCTGTTGTCCCAGCTTTTTTATCAGTCAGACTCCCATGGGCGTTAATCTATATTTCACACATCCTTAATCTTTTGATGCCCAAGCTTCCTTTCCCATCTAGGTCTACAATCTACTTCCTCCCACCCACCATTTCTCTCTGAGGACAAAGTTTTTTCCCTTTTTTTTTTTTCCATCCAAATGCCACCCCCCAACCCCACCCTTTCTTTCCTTTCTGCCCACTACCTTTAACTTTACCTTTGTTCGCTCAGTGACACAAGAAAGGCAGGTTTCCTGTGTTTCGGGAGACTGTCACTATAAGGTAAATTATGCTTTTGCTAATACTCCCTAGTGCTACAGGCTTAGCAAAATAAATGGCATGCCCAGAACAAGAAGTTTTAAACTGACACAGCCTGTGATCTGTTTACATGCCAACTTAGTGGAATTCCTAAGCAGAAAGAGGAAAAAAGGAGGATAGCTAAAAGTCGGTAAAGCATATCTTGCTTCAGCTAAATGAAATACTAGAATACTGTTAATTTCTTCAATTGATCACCTTATTATCAAAGGCTATAAATACTTTTAAAGTTATAATGTATCCTTGTTTCTCTCTCAAACTCACACAAACACACAGATACCCAGGAGAAACAAATGAGACCATGATTTATATTTTCATATGGAGGACAGAATAGATCTAAAAAAATATATTTTTATTAGTGATTTCAACCCCACACTGAATAATCTTTCACCAATTCTGCTATAGTTTGTCTAAATTTACTAATTTGAAGTTTGACTGTTTTTTCTCTTTTTTATTTTTTGGAGACAGAGTCTCGTTCTGTCGCCCAGGCTGGAGTGTAGTGGCATGATCTCGGGTCACTACAACCTCTGCCTCCCAGGTTCAAGCAATTCTCATGCCTCAGCCTCCCGAGTAGCTGGGATTACAGGCATGTGCCATCACGCCTAATTTTTGTATTTTTAGTAGAGACGGGGTTTCACCATGTTGGCCAGGCTGGTCTCAAACTCCTGACCTCAAGTGATCCACCTGCCTCGCCCTCCCAAAGTGCTGGGATTACAGGCATAATCCACTGTGCCTGGCTATTTTCTTTGCCCCCACTGATAATGACTAGTAAAGACACATACAGGTAATAAGGAAATAAGAACAAATAGTAAGAGGAAGAAGAAAAATAATCCAGCATTTTCAATAACTTAAGAAATAATGAAATAACTATATTGGAAATATAAGATTTAAACCAATAATCTACTATTTAAAAATAAACAAAATCTCCATTTTACTTGCTATATAATTGCAACACACACACACACACACACACACACACACACACACACACAAAAACGACATAGCCATTTTTGGCTTGTTCACTTAATATGTCTTAGGTAACATAAAAACCCTATTTTCAAAACTGGTGAAAATATTTAATGTTATAGTAATTAAATATAATCAAGAGAACTTCTTTAAACTAGGATTACAAAATGTAGAGATAAAGAGTTCTTCAATTTGCTATTTGATGCAGACAATTCTCAGGTTTGATTAAGTTCATAGACTGTGGTATTACACTGCCTGCATTCAAATTCTGTTCTGCCCTTTATTAGCTGTGTGACTTTGGTCATATTACTTAACCTCTCTATATTGCAATTTCCTTATCTGTAAAATGAGCTCAATAATAGCATCCATCTCAAAGGGTTATAAGAGTCAATGGGTTAATATTTGTAAAATGTTAACAGCAGTGCCTAGTACAAAGTTGGCATTTTAATAAGCACTTGTTGATTTAAAAATAGATTTAACTTCCACTACTGCACAGTAAATCTTTGAGGGATTATTTTCAGCTAGGCCAAATCTTGATGAAAAGCAACAACTGTAAAATCTAAAAATACAAAGAATAGTCCATTCATGCAGAAACACTACATTACATATGGAAATGAAATGCTTCTCTAGAAAAATTTTATTAATTCACACCTTCAAAATCTGTACTTAGACCCATTTTAGAAAGTTCCATGCTACAAACCTGACAATAAATGAACTATACTTTATTCCCACAATACATATCCTAAATGAAAATGAAATTATGAGGACTGAGGCAAAAATACAATTCATTGTCATGTGGAGTAGAATGCAAAATAAAAGAAAAATCAGCCTCAATGCTAAGGTATTTTAAATAATTCCCTAAACTTTTAGTTTTTCATAATGCATATAAATGAATTAAGAATTTAAAAATTTGGGTCAGGCACTGTCATTCACGCCTGTAATCCCAGCACTTTGGGAGGCCAAAGCAGTAGGATCACTTGAACCCAGGAGTTTGAGACTGGCTTTGGCAACAAAGTGAAGCCTTCAACTCCACAAAAAATAAAAAAAAAATAGCTGGGTGTGGTGGTGAGCATCTATGGTCCCACAAGGGAGGCAGGCTGAGGCTAGAGGATTCCTTGAGCCCAGGAGATCAAGTCTGCAGTAAGCCATGTTTGCAGACTCTGTCTCCAAAAAAAAAAAAGAATTTAAAAATTTGGCATATGGCAATTCACATTGCCAGTGAGAAAAACTAAACTTTTAAATTGTACTTTACTTGGCTGCTGCATTGATAAAATTTTTTAAACCCAGGGATCAGTAATTTTAAAAGGCCACAGGGAGAATCAAGTAGATGTCGCCAGGACTGTGCATGAAACCTTACCTTCTTCCAGTGAAGTTGCTCCTTCTGAGCTAATTCACATTTCTATCAAGTCTCTCAAATGGTTTCAGAGCTAACAGCAGCTCATACAGAGCAAATTATTAGAAGAGTGAGAAAACGGATGTAAAAACACTGACAAAAATAAAATACATGTATGAAAATTAGAATAATAATGGAAAAAGATTTAAAGACTTTAAAAGCCACTGGGTATGTGTGGGAGTGGTTCACGTGCATGCTTACATACAAATTGTCCTAATGTATTCCAGCAATACAGGAGGCTCCTGATTGTGCTACAGCACAAAACAGTAACTGATGCTCAGAATGATGGCCTTGGTTTATCAAGAAAAAGTTCAAGATGTCTCAAGTATATTTCATTTAACATGGCAGATGGTAACTACTGTTATTTCGAATTTACAAAGTGCATTATGCAGTAAGTGCTTTATATACATTCATCTAAAAAATAGTTATAAAGTGCCTATTCAGCATCTACTTCATTAAATTTACTTCATTAAATACATATACCTCAGGTTACAAACTGAGACAGTGTTTATAATTGCCCATTTACAATGGAGAAAACCAGGCATGAGGGATTGTAAAACCTATATGAGCTCACAGAACTGGCAGACAGGAGAGCCTGGGCGTGACTCCAGATCTCTGCACTACAGATTTATGCTCTTAAATTTCACAGGGATTTGCAAATATTAAGCCTAAAAGCAGAAGGCTCACCTTTCTTGACCGCAAACTCATGTGAACAATCTCATAAACAAGAACAAGTCCACCTAAGTAAGGTACTAATGGATTTAAGAAATTTCTGTAAAGGAGGATAACTCTGCTATTTCTATATTATAAACATCAACTGGAATCAATGATCTGTTTTTCACCCTCACGTGTTCCATCTAAAGCAGAGAGCAAGACAGGCTAGATTACTTTCCTTCATCAGCTCTTGACTTTCTCTTATCTTTTGTTTAGTAATCTCCTCATAAACAGCCTAGCAAAATAGAGACCTTCAATCCAGTAATTATCTATGTCACCAGAAAAAGCCTTGAAACAAACACAAATGAAGAGGGTCCTTGGGGAACGTCAATCACCTCAACTCCCTCTTCCGTTTCTCTCAAGCCAAGCTTCTTTTCACCCTCCTTAATTGCAAGACTATTTCCAGCTCAGACAGTGGACATCCTGCCTCAACTTTTTTAATACTCATTCTCCTGGGAAACTTTATTGCTGTTGCTGCTGAATCCTCATTCTCTTCTCATCTCCTCAGTTGTAAATTCTTTCAGAGTAGACTATTTCTAACCAAAACTATGAGCACTAGATTCAAGAAATATGTTTTCCTTTCTAATTTTTGCTGATAGCCAATGCTGGGACTTACAGAGAGACCAGTCACCTGCAACTTCATTAGGCAGCTAAAATGTTAATCTCACAGAGAGCCTGCCTGTGTGATATACAATAAACAGATTGTTCCTCTTTCCACTTTTATCTTTTGCATATATGAATGAATATAGAATACAAAAGTGTGTGCATGTATTCCATATGCCAAGAGTGGCAGTTTTAAAGTGCCATACATGCTGGGCGCAGTGGCTCATGCCTGTAATCACAGCAGTTTGAGAGGCTGAGACAGGCAGATCACTTGAGGTCAGGAGTTCCAGACCAGCCTGGCCAACATGGGGAAACTTGGTCTGTACTAAAAATACAAAAATTAGCCGGACATGGTGGTGGGTGCCTGTAATCCCAGCTACTTGGGAGGCTGAGGCAGGAGAAGAGCTTGAACCCGGGAGGCAGAGGTTGCAGTGTGCTGAGATTACGCCACTGCATTCCAGGCTGGCCAACACATCAAGACTCCGTCTCTAAATAAATAAATAAATAAATAAAGTAACATACTTCCTAAAGTTTTATAGAAGCAATGTATGACATATCATTGAGCCTTAGAATTCACAGTAGGATGGCTTGGGTGATTGCAGATCTTGAAATGCATTTTAAAATAATGACAACAAAGTTAATAATGCCTACTTCAGTAACAGATTTCAGAGATTTCTGAAAACAATACAATTAATTTAACTCTAGTTAATGTCAATTAAGATATCATGCTTATATGCACAGACTTGAAAAATAATATTAATCAATGTTACCAAATAAGAAGCAGTTGTCTTTTTATAGCATATATAGTTGCATGAAAATCTACCCAACTTTTCAATGGCAAGTCTATCTGGGACACATAACTCCTCTTTGACTGTTTTTTACTCATGTTTTAACTAATTATGTTCTGGTAGGAGAAGTTTTCCAATAGGTTTATAGACTTAACGACAATAACAGAAGTTTTTCTCTGATACCACTATACTATTAACACTGATAGTTAACACATGCCTCAATTTAACCCAAGATATTTAAATAAATATCTATCACAGGACTAACTGCAGTGCTGTGGTAACACTTGTCAAAACTAGTAAGTACGTTCATCCTTCATTATTCTAATATTAACGTAAGTATGTTATATGTCAAGCATAATGCTAGGCTCATGAATAAAACGTGAAGACTAAATAGATTTTGTTCTCAAGGAACTCAGATTTCATGGGGAAATGGGGGAAAATGCTAAAGTAATTACCATGCACTATGTAAAGTGCTATGATAAGGAATATGCGTATTCCGTATGGGTTCGTAGCAGAAAGCAACATAAAACAGAAACACCAGTTCCATGGACTTCCAAGAGGGTGTAACTCTGAAAGCTAAACAAGGATTAAGATTTTGGTGAAGAAGAGAATAAAGAGCAAGAATAGCTCAAGACAAAAGACTAGCACATGCAAAGCAAGTGCATTAAGGTATTGAAAGTGTGTCAGTATGGTTGGAACCAGAGAAGCACTTACCCTGGAGCTGATAAAGGCTCACCATCTGGATCCCTCACTTGCACAGCCCTTCCAAGGCCCTGCCTGGGAGGACCCCTAGTAATGGGTGCAAAGGTGCAGATATACACAGAAAGGAGTTAACCTAGCAAGTCTGAAAGTGCTGTCCTTGAAAAAGCCTGATTGCAAGGTTGGCCTTTGGTGTTTATCTGAGAACGTGGATTTTGGGAGAGGTCCCACCATTCCCAAAATGATAAGATTGGCTCACTGTGCCTGTTTTTACGAACAAAATAATTTTACGAACAAAATAATATATGCTGAACACCTGCTCTCCTCCTGAGAGTTTGAAATTCTGGTACATGCCAGGCAGAAGGTGTCGGGTGACCAGCTCTAAATTTAAAAAACCCTGAACGCTGAGTCACTATTGAGCTTTCCTGGTGGGCAACATTTCATCCCTGTCACAATCTTGAGGAATTAGGCATGTCCTGTGTGACTCCACTGGGAGATGATTCTTGAAAGTTTGTGCCTGGTCTCCTCTGGTCTTTGCCCCATGAACCTTTTACCTTTTCTGATTTTGCCTTGCATCATTTCACTGTAATAAATCATAGCCATGAAACTGTGAGTACAATTAAATGCTGAATCCTATGTCTGCCTAGCCATATCCTCAAACCTGGAGTTCGTAGAGACCCCAAATACAATGTTTCATAAAATATTCAAAAGGGAAATGGTTTTAGATTACATTTTAAAACTAAGAACCCCCAATTGTTTAGCTTTTCAGCCCCATAAAATCTGAATCCTCCCCTGCCCGGTGGGGGTGGGGGAGCAGGGAGGACCCATGGTGCTAGAGGGTTATTTAATCGTATGTTATATGCTTCACAGAGTGTCAGGGCTCCTATGGCCATGAGGTTCAGAGGGATTTGTCTTTTTAGTCAACATTTTGTTAGGAACCTGAAAATAACTTAGAAGGGTAGAAAGTGTTGTAGGTAATATTAATGACTTTAACTTTAAAATATAAGTGTCCAAATACCTATTGTGGAAAGGTTAAAGCCTAACAGAGTCTCAATCATGGCTCTCAGCTGGGGAGGGAAATCTATGACTCTTTGTAGAACTCTCACATAGAGTCACTCCAAGAAACAGTCATAGCTCAGCAAATTGTTCCTAGCACTAATTAGGTGCATTAATAAATTATACAATAATTTAGATATTTAAATATACTTTATCAGAAGTTATAAGACATTCACGAATCACTTTAAATATACTTTAGCAAATATTTACTGAACTTTGGCCACGTATAAGGCTCTATGCTTGTGTAGTGAATGAGATGGCACGCTGTGCCGGCCTCCCTTCAAGACTGAAACATTCATTCCTCAAGCTGCTGGAAGTGTGGGCTGCTGACAGCAAAGGGCTGAGTCCTTGGGAATCTCCCGGGGAATTGTTTTCTTTGAGGTTACAACTCCGCCCATCCAAGCTTCAGAGTTCCTTGTGGAATTGGCTGCAATGTTCATCACTGAACTTTTGTAGAAAGTTCATCTTTGTTCTACTTCTTCACAACCCTGCTTCCCTCCATGGGTTTCCAACAGGACTAAATCATCTACCTGCAAGCAAATCTCCATTTCAGAGTCTATTTCCTAAGGAAAATGACCAAACATAGTCAGTATAAATGGTCCAAAAATGATAGAGACATAGTCTCAGTCATTTAAGGAACCTTGAATTCAACTGGGTATCAAGATAAATCAAGGACATATATTCCATGAAAGCAAGGATCAATGAAAAAAATGAATGAATAACAAAATGCAAGGTATATTATTGTGAGTTAACAACAGGGGTACACAGGTCAAAGAAGAAAGAAATAAAACTTGGGTGAATAAAATAATATTTCATAAAGAAGTGGATTTTGAAATATTTCTTGGAAATCAAGGAACTTGCAGCATTTTTATAGAGTGAGTCTGCCATTCAGGCAGGAGCTTACGAATAGAAATGTTGTAGAGAGCAAAGTGAGTGGCCTAGAGGTCTGGCATAAGGGGCAGATGGAGGAAAGAAATGGTTTGTGTCGCTTGGAAGGAAAATAATGGCTTAATGCGGAGGCTTGAGAATGACAGGGGAAAATGAAATTTCTTTTCTTTTTATTTTTTAATGTTATTTTTTAAAATAATTTCAACTTCTCTTTTAGATTCAGGGGGTACACGTGCAGGTTTGTTACACAGGTATGTTGTGTGATGCTGAGGTTTGGGATACAAATAATCTCTTATGCAGGTAGTGGGAATAGTACCCAGTAGTTAGTTTTTCAGTCTTTCCCCATTTCCTACTCTCTCAACTCTATAGTCCCCATCTTTATGTCCATGAGCACCCAGTGTCTAGCTCCCACTTATAAGGGAGAAGATGCCATATTTTGTTTTCTGTTCCTATGTTAATTTGTTTTGGATAATGGCTTCCAGCTACATCCATGTGGCTGCAAAGGACATAATTGTATTATTTTTTAATGGCTGCATAGTATTTTATGGCATATATGTGCCACACTTTCTTTATCTAACCCACTGTTGATGGGCACCTAGGTTGATTCCATGTTTTTGCTATTGTAAATTGTGCTGCAGTGAACATAGGAGTGCATGTGTCATTTTGGTAGAAAAATTTATTTTCTTTCGGATATATATCCAATAATGGTATTGCTACTTGGAATGGTACTTGTGTTTTAAGTTCTTTGAGAAATCTCCAAACTGCTTTCAACGTGGCTGAACTAATTTACATTCCCACCAATAATGTATATGTGTTTTCTTTCCTCTGCAGCATAACCAACATTGACTGCTTTTTGACTTTTTAATAATAACAATCCTGACTGGTGTGAGATAGTATTTCATTGTGGTTTTGATCAATATTTCTCTAATGGTTAGTAATGTTGAGCATTTTTTCATATATTTGTTGGCCGCTAGTATATCTTCTTTTGATAAATGTCTGTGCATGTGTTTTGCCCATTTTTAAAGGGGTTATTTTGTTTTGACTTGTTAAATTGTTTAAGTTCCTTACAGATTCTGGATATTAGATCTTTGTTGAGTGCATAGTTTGTGAATATTTTCTCCCATTCTGTAGGCTGTCTGTTTACTCTGTTGATAGTTTCTTATGCTGTGGAGAAGCTCTTTAGTTTAATTAGGTCCCACTTGTCAATTTTTGTTTTTGTTGCAATTGCTTTTGAGGACTTAGTAATAATAAATTATTTCCAAAGTCTGATGTCTAGAATGATGTTTCCTGGGTTTTCTTCTAGGATTCTTATAGTTTGAGGTCTTACATTTAAATCTTTAATCCATTTTGAATTAATTTTTGTATATGGTGAAAAGCATGAGTTCACTTTTATTCTCTTGCATATGGCTAGCCAGTTTTCCCAGCACCATTTATTAAAATTTATTGAATAGGAAGTCCTTTCCCCATGGCTTATTTTTGTTGACTTTCTCAAAGATCAGAGGCCTGTAGATTATGGCTTTATTACTGGGTTCTCTCTTTTGTTCCATTGTTGCCTTTCTTCCGCTAGGCCAGTTGTGAGCTTTTGTTCCATTGATCTTTTACACGTTTTAGAAAATGAATAAATGTGTCTTTGTCCAGAGCATGACTTCCAGCCTATAACCTCTATTCTGGCTGTGCTCAGCCCCTAACCATGAGGCAAAGGCAGTGTGTATAATTCTTTATACAATGCATTCACTTCCAACCTGTTTATGTGCCAGTACCATGCTGTTTTTGTAACAGTGCCATGGTGTTTGGTTAGTGTAGTTTTATGATATAGTTTGAAGTGGGGTAATGTGATGCCTCCGACTTGGTCCTTTTTGCTTAGGATTGCTTTGGTTATTCAGCCTTCTTTTTGGTTCCATATGAATTTTGGAATCGTTTTTCTAGTCATGTGAAAGATGATGTTGGTAGTTTGATAGAAATTGCATGAAACTTCTAATGGGCAATAGAAGTCATTCAAAGGCGTTTGAACTTAGGTGTGATAGTCAGAATAAACTGGAGAAATGGACAAAGCTGGAAATCAAACCCCAGGAATATGGCTCCAGAATGTTGTCCAAGTCTAATCCACTCCAAGACTGCCTCTCAGGACAGAAAGCCATGAGCTAAATGCCAAGGGTTTTTGGTATTGCCAGTGCCAGTTTAGGATGAGGTGTGGGAGGAATACTCAATTCACACTGGCTGGTAATGTTTCTATCCAAGTATAACCAGATGCAGAAGGAAGAATTTAACTGGGTTTGAGGAATATAAAGCAGGAGTAAAAGCAAGTTCAAGATTCAGGTAGGTTGGAAGTCAGTGCATTATGTAAAGAATTATACACACAGCCTGTGCCTCTTGGTCAGAGGTTAAGCATAGCCAGAATAGAGGCGACAGTCTGGAAGTCATGCTCTGGACAAAAACAGATTCATTAGTTTTCTAAAATGTCTATAAGATAAATAGAACAAAAGCTCACAAGTGGCCTAACTGAAGAAAAGCAGCGAATATAGCAGTGACTGCTATAGATGAGAAGATACAAACAAGATGTAAACTTTTAACTGCAAAGGAAAGATAGGTGCTGACAGTGGTGTGGCCGAAGGTACAATGTATGTAGAGACTAATTAATAAGGTTAAAATAAGTCATTCATAGCTCTCCTGCTTCCTAAACCAGAGCTCGGTGACAATTTGTACCATAGAATTGACAAAGTTCAGTGTAAGTATAAAACGTCACAAATGACAGGCACAATCACGACTTGTCACAGCTTACCCTGGCATAGAAACTGAGGTCAGCCTTTATAAGAGACCATCTGGAATTTGGCATAAATTCCAGAAGGGGAAGGATGCCTCCAGGCTGGCTGCTGAGCTCCAGTAGCCATCAAGAGATGTCCTTGGTTGAGGCAGGTGGCACCTGCTAGCAGGACTCAAAGAGTAAAATTAGCAACATCACTTCTATGCATGGCCCTCATTCATTCATCTACACTTGAGCCATATCTCCACAGGAAAGCTGGGACTGGGGAAGCAACAAACCCAATCTGAAACTTGCTGTAGGTCACCTGTCTAATTAGACACCAGGAGCTGCTTCTGTGCTCCAGCCTGTCTTCCCCCTGTGCTCCTCTGGACTACACAATTGAAAATTCACACCCAATTATAAAAACAGAATGAGGCTGCTTTCCTGAATGACTGGTCTCCAGGTTCATTTTGCGTACTCTTGATTAGAGTAATGACTCTAGCCAGACTCACTGGCCGGCTGCCCCAAGTGGATGAACGTCCTAACTAAGGCAGCCAATAGCCCAGCCTCTCACTCAGCATTCTCCTGAAATCAGGGATTTTTAACTGACAATTCTAATGAAGATATGCTCACATGCAGAACTCTTGCTAGGTGACTGCTCCATAGAATTGAGTTGACTGTGAACAATTTCTAAGAGAAAATGTTAAAAAAAGAGGTAATAAAGTTTAATAGAACCTGAGTGATAAAGATGAAATGCCATATGAAGTAAAATACAGAAACATGATATGTTGGGCAACTGTTCACAGAATGGTTACTCAGAATTCCTGGAATGAACAGATAACCAAAGAGGTTTTCAAAATGTAGTGATCCCTGTACGGAATAGACTTTAAAAAGGAAACAAAAAAAATTGTGATCTTTGTCTGACAGGAGCTAAAATGTTTTGAGGAGTACCTGCAAGAGCAAAACCTGACCAATCAGCTAAGGATTCTACTCTAAGATATTCTGAGGCTGATGCAAACAGATGACCTGTGCTCGAGAGTCTACCATCCACTCCTCATCTCTCAGAAGGCCCCTTCTTGGGAAAGGACTTCTTTTCTTATCGCTGGATTTCCAGGCATATCGCTCTTCAAAAGACATATGGTGTAGTTACGGTGGTTGCTGGTTCCCTTCCCCGTTTTTATAATTAAATTATCCTTCAAAATAAATTCAGAAGCTCAGAGGGCAGTAGAACATTTTTCTTAGGCTGAAAAAGATTATTCAACACTGCCCATGTCCACCAACCCAACTACTTGCTCTGCTAGCCACGGCTAGGCTCTCCTATAGCTCCTCAAAATACAAGCAAAGATGGAACATGCACATGTCTGGAGTACGTTAATGAAATGTACAAATGAACCATGCCCGTAGTCCCAGCTACTCAAGAGGCTGAGTTGGAAGGCTCACTTGAGGCCAGAAATTGGAGGCTGCAGTGAGCCATGATTGTGCCACTACACTTCAGCCTGGGTGACAGAGTAAGACCTTGTCTCAAAAAAAAAAGTCATATAATCATTGGCTGAAATAGAGTTGCCTAGATTATTTTATGTCTTTCATCAAAATGTAAAATATTACATGTGATCTCAATGACACCAAAAAATAGGAACAAACATTTATTGAAATGAATAATGAGTGAGTGTATTATACATTATATCATCTTCTCTAACTCAAGAGCTACTAAAACAAACTTCTTTTACTTTCTCATTTATTTGTTTCTAGTACATTATTATTAATAGTGTGGTTAAGAGGTTGGGTAGTGGAACCAGACTGCTTAGGTTTTTATCCTAGATCTTCCACTTACTAACTACATAAACTTAAGTTATTAAAACTCTACATACCTCAGTTCTTCCATAAATAAACAGAGTAGTACTGATTTCATAAAGTTATATTATGGATTACATGAGTTAGTAGATGTGATGCTTTTAGAACAGTGCTGGGTATACACTACTGTCATTCTCTCCTTATATGCCCATTTCCCTCACTAGATTTTGCTTTGTTTCTCATTTCTACCTCTAACACTTACATGCACATGCCTGCCATAAAATAGGTGCCCAATACATATTTGCTAAATGGATGGATTTAATTTAATCCACACATTTGCCCTGTGAAGTCATCATTCTTGGATTATAACTGGGGAATTTGTACGTTCAAGACAAAACATATCTAGTCAGTAGCAGAATGAAGATTTGAAACCAGGGGTAGTATATTATCATACTGATGTTTTACCACTATACCACACAGAGAAATTGAATACAACCTAAGGCCTTGCTATTCAAAAAACAATAACTTGAGAGCTTCATTGTGAGAAATGCTCAACAAATACATTTCAGTACAAAGTGTTTTTGTGTTCTGTTTCATTTGAGAGATTCTTATTGTAATGTGGTAATTAGATATCTGGTCCTCAGACTTCTATTTCTGGCATTTATTCTGCTGTCATATGAGTCCGTCCAAGTGAGGTGCTATGAGAATCAGGGTTTCTCATAATGGAATGTGGTCAAAAAAAGGAAATACTGTGGAGTGAAAAGGAAGGGCAGGAACAAAAGAAATAAATATAGACAGACGTAGGAGAACTGTCTCCACAAAGTGATGAGATATCATGCTTCCCACACCAGTGTTTTTCTTAGAGAGGGTTGAGTACGAGAGAGATATGTGATTCAAACATAATGTTATCCATGCTGGGTCTGTTCTAGGAAGGGTGCCCAGCTGTCACACTAATGTCCCACCTGTTCTGTAGCCTGCTTCAGACTCCAGAGAGAAGAACTTGGAAGAGCCTAAAAGGAACTGAGTAGCAGACACGAAAACAGGTTTAAAATCTAGGGAGAAACCTACCATGTGATGCTCTTGGAAAATGCCCATTACAAGATACCTCTGTCACATTTCACATGTCAGCCAAAGAGAGGATATTCTCTTCTGGCCTAAGAAAGCTGCGTTAGATTGACGAATAAAAACATACTGCATTTAAGATAGTCTCAAGCTGGGAGTTTGAGTATTTGCTGCTTTTAACACACACACACACACACACACACACACACACACACAAACGCAGCAAATTGAAATATACTTTCAAATTGCATCAATGTGTTTTGAGATAGTATCCTTAGAATATGCTCTGCACTAAAAGGATTATATGCATTCCTGTTTATTAGAGTGGTTACAGAAGCAAAAGGAAGCCTATTCTAAATAACAAGCTTTTTACATAAAAACACATATGGCTGAATCATATGTTATAATTTTATTTTTACAATTAATCCCTGCCTTTTCTAGTTCTCAAATTTATAATGGTCTCAGGACCTATTTATTGCTGAGAGGTCATTAGCATGCTATTTTTAAAGACTAAATTCTAATTCTAATGTGCATATGCATATATGAGCTATGAATCAAGATCCATAACTCTTTTCCAATAACTCTATAGTGCCTTCTGGAAGTGCACTCTAGGTAAGTATACTTTACTGCTCTGCAGAAGCAATTAATTAGCTAAAGCTGTGCATATTCCTGCCAGTGCAGTCAGGAGCCACAACCAGAAAAGGAGAAGAGACACAACAAATGGCAGAGGAGAACAAAATGGGTGCAATGCTTGATAACATGGCTCAGGAAACAGAAATATGAATGTAATTATCAGTAGGCTCAAAATATATCTATAATTTGGAAAAAGAAAAATTCTAAAAAGGGAGAGACTAAGAAGTTAACAGACTAAGAAGTTAACCCTTATACATAATTCTCAATGAGGTAAATATTTTATATATCTGGGTCTCTCCAGGTCTCTCCTGGATATATTTTAGATAGCCAGGTCTCTCCTGAGACCTGGAGATAGTGGTCAAAAAGTTGAGATTGTGCAGAGGTGCAAATGGCACAAAATTAAGCCATCTCTAGCTTGACTTATGTTGTTCCCCACTTCCTTCTCTTTAATCTCCCCATCTAGACATTCATGCACTTGAGAAATGCAGTTATGTATATAACTGTAGATTATGTATCTATAGCTACGTGTGTATATATTATGGATACACATATTTATCATGTTAATAGAGACAACAGAAGCAGTTTTAATTACATGTTTGGTATTTAAAATATTATAAGTGTGAGAATTTAAAAAGAAGAAATATGCAACTGTGTATAAATAACATCCCAGTGAAACAGAGAAATACTGCACATACAATGGAAGAGACAGTTTGTCTTATCCATTTGTGCTCCTTTAAAAATACCTGAGACAGGGTAATCTATAAACAATAGAAATTTATTTCTTACCGTTCTGGAGGCTGGGAAGTGCAAGATCAAGGCACCAACTTTTGGTGTCTGGTGAGGGCTTTCTTGTTGCATCCTCACATGGCAGAAATAGGGCAAAATGGGAGGAACACTGTGTTCTCACATGGCAGAGAGGCGAATAGCTCCCTCACATCTCTTTTATAAGGGTACTAATCCTATTCATGAGGGCTCTGTCCCATGAGTGAATAACTTCCTGAAGGCACCACCATCTAATACTATCAATAAGTTTCAACATATGAATTTTGGGGGACACATTCAGACTGTAGCACAGGGTTAGCATTTCATAGGCCTGGGTAAGCGGGAACTGCAGTGCGTGCATGTCACATATGGAAAGGCAGCTAGTGAGTGCATATTTTAATAAATCAAGTGGAATCACTGGACCTTTTCAGTTTGTTGAGTGTTGTGTGTGTGTGTGTGTGTGTGTGTGTAATTTTCTGATAGATGAAGAAAAGAGAAAGCAGGTGCGTTAGATTAGAAAGCTAAATGAAATACTGTGAAAATCTTTACCTTTGTGGAAACAAGAGGCTGTACTTTGTGTTACATTGTGAGAAAAAGTGCTTGTGGGACGACAGAAAATATGAACACATAAAAGTCAATCTGTGGGATTTTCATGGTCCACTCTTCTGTTCATTGAAAGAGAACAGCTAACTCAGTACCAGGGCCTACTACACATTGAAGATATAGATAAACCTCCAGATTCAAGCCCAGAGATAGACAACTAATTGGTTGAAACCAGGCAGATAACCCAGCAGGAACAACCAAAGTCACAGGTGCAACAGCCATAAATACCCTCTTATAAAACCTGAAAGAGAGGTAGCAGAGAATGCAATAAACAGAAAACAAGATAAAAGAGTATTTTTCTTCCTAGGCTGCTAACACTGGAAACTGTTGCAAGCTGTTAGTGGCTAATAGTTAAAACAAAAACGACACTATAATTATATATTATTCATATCTAAATTGGCATTGTTCACTTGGCCCAGATGTCAAATGTTACCACATACAGATACCTTGAGAAAAGAGTGGATTTCTTAAAGTCTAGCATATCTGGACATCTTTCAGTTTACCGTTGCCTAGAGAAATAGATCTGGAGATTTTGTTTTCTAGTTTTAACTAATCTCACCCTCAAAAATGGCCTAAAATGTTTCTGGAAAAAAAAAACCCACAGAATGAAAGTAATATAAGTAAAGCAAATGAAACAGAAACTGGGAGGTTAGGAGTGACTTGCCAGCCAGAATACAAGGTAAAAATTGTGACTATCTAATCACATTTAATATGGTTATTCCCAAAACAAAATTTCACATTTTTTTAGCAAAAGCACAAATATTTTTGTAATATTTGCAAATAAGAAAAGTATTTAAAATATTACTCTATATGTGAATAATCTGTAATCATATGTAAATAATGTAAGTTAACATTATATGTTTTAACTTTGGGAGGCTGAGGTGGGCGGATGACAAGGTCAGGAAATCGAGAACATCCTGGCTAACATGGTGAAACCCAGTCTATACTAAGAAATATAAAAAATTAGCCGGGCATGGTGGCAGGCACCTGTAGTCCCAGCTACTCGGGAGGCTGAGGCAGGAGAATGGTGTGAACCCGGGAGGCAGAGCATGCATTGAACTGAGATAGTACCACTGCACTCCAGCCTGGGCGACAGAGTGAGACTCCGTCTCAAAAAAAAAAAAAATTATATGTTTTATAAGTATAAAATATGTTAGTACAGTATAAATAACTACACATATATTTGCATTGTGTGCTAAAATATATTTTTATTGCCAGGGATGAAAGATTTAAACAGTTTATAATACTGCTCAATTCCATTCCTGAAATCACATTTAATTATGTCAGTTTGTGCTACTTCTAGGAGCAATTATATATTCAAATAAATATACTAAATTAGGATTGATTTCCTTTATAATGAGAAAAAGATTTATATAACAGAAAAAATTACTAAACCAAATATATAGTTCTGGATTTTTGTCTGAACCCTCTCAGTAACTAGCTAAAAATAAGAGTATTAAAAGCTATCATTCATTGAATAGCTAAATGACCATGCTTGCCACTGGGCTAATCCTTTACATATATTAATTCTACTCCCCACAACAAATTCATGAGGTAAGTACCTAATCCAGTAGAAAAAAGAGAAGGTGAAAGAAAGAAAGATTGAAAGAACTAGTAGTCTCATCAGTGATCAATGACTAAATTAAATCATTTAATTAAATGAGATTTAAACAACATAGAGCTATTATTCCCCTGTTAACTTCACAAAATGATCTTTATTTTGTCTAATATTAAGGAAGACATAAAACATAGTACTTTGATTACTACTTATTAATTGTGTGTCCTTGGGCCAGTTACATCTCATCTCTGGAGTTCAATTTCTTGAAATTCAAGTCTTTAATTTTTTTCCATAATGAGAATAATACCAGATAGATATATATATATAATTTTTTTTTTGAGATGGAGTCTCACTGTGTTGCCCAGGCTGGAGTGCAGTGGCATGATCTCGGCTCACTGCAACCTCCGCCTCCCAGGTTCAAGCAATTCTCTGTCTCAGCCTCCCAAGTAGCTGGGATTACAGGAACCCATCAGCATGCCGGGCGAATTTTTGTAATTTTAGTAATTTTAGTAGAGATGGCCAGGCTGGTCTTGAACTCCTGACCTCGTGATCCACCCTCCTTGGCCTACCAAATTGCTGGGATTACAGGCGTGAGCCACCGCGCCCAGCCTGATAATACCAAATATCTTAAAAATTGTTCTGAGAATTAAATGTGCTAATTTACATAAAAGTTCATTCACAAGAGTGCCTACCATAGAGAAACCCACTAAGTATGTACTATCACACACTGCCAATGATAAAAATTATTTTGGAATAGAAATTGGAATTATCAGTCAAAAGTCATAGAGAGGATTCACTACCAATAATCTGGCCAGATATGGTGGCTCACGCCTGTATCCCAACACTTTGAGAGGCTGAGGCAGGTGTATCGTTTGAGCCCAGCCTGGACAACATGGCAATACCCTGTCTCTACAAAAAATACAAAGATTAGTCAGGCGTGCTGCTGCATGCCTGTCATCCCAGCTACCCAGGAAGCTAAGGTGGGAGGATCACCTGAGCCTGGGAGGTCAAGGCTGAAGTGAGCCATGCTCGTGCCACTGCATTCCAGCCTGGGCAACAGAGTGAGATCCTGTCTCAAAATAACAACAACAATAACAACAACAAAAACTGAAATCAGCTATTCCTGGAACTCTATTCTAGGGAAATATAAAATATTTTTGAGACATAAGCAAATGCGCAGACATGAAGCTACTCATTGTCACAATATTTATAATATCAACAAAATGTCCTATACTGGGGGTTTATATAACAATAAATGGTATTTCCATCATTAAGAAGGTATGCTAAAACATTATGTTCTTAATCTTAAACACTATATTAAATATACAAAACAATGTAGGCCATAAACTTAATTGAAAAAAATAGGTTAGCAAATTTCACGTTTATACTTAAGTTTTTATTTATATTTACGTATCATTGTAATGAACAAGCCTACTTGAGCAACAGATTGAAAGAAACGGTTTTAAAAGTATAACATTGGTTTTATTTGGTTGGTAGAAAAATGTTCCCATTGCTAAAGATATCTCAGTTTCTGCACCACGTTTGTGTTAAAACACACATTCTTTTTCTTTGTTATTTTCTCCATTCTCTTATCTCTAGCTCTACTTTGCTCATCTTAAGAATGATAAATCAATGAAGAACATTTTTTAAAGGGCAAGGATTAATTACAGATATCATTTCTAAGTTTTCTTACGTGAAAAAGTATTTTTTAAAAGCTCTGGAGATTACTATTTTTGATGTGTATTTGTGGACTCACTTCTGAGATTTTCATACTAGATCTCTTCTTTGGTATGGCTTATTGTCAAAGGTTGCTAAGCAGTATGAGTACTCTAAAAACAGACAGTGCTTAGGGGTAGTGCATCCCCCAATGTTTAAATCACCTTTAAAAATTGTTAAAACATGACAGGATCAAAAGGGTAGAGAGGGAAGGAATATTTGAACAGTTCTGCATTTACTCTCTTTGAATACCAAGACTTCTTGCCTTTTCATAAGACACTCATAGTGTAAGAAAGTTTCCATCATTTAAATTACATCTCAAATGGAATCCCCCTACAGAATCACATGCATTGTCTAATTTTTGATAAAAATATAGAGAAAGAGAAAAATTGAAGACTTTTTGAGAAAGTTTTGAAAAGATACCTTGCTTCCCACCTTTCCCATAAAATAGCTGTAAGGGTTAATAAAAAAGATTATATAATAACATTGTAAACTGTTTAGGAGTCAATCATTAAAAACACCTTTGAGAATGTCATTATTACTGAGAATATTTTCCCCAACTCCAGCACATATATGGTGGTGTACTCCTATTTATCTTCAAGATGCATGTGTTATTCAGACTTGCTTTTACAATATCCAAAACATGCTGCAATTTGTGAGCAATCTTAGCCAATCAGAGAAATAAATATTTAAAGCAATTTCCTAAATACTGTATTATTTACTGTCTCTCAGAGATTGGAGCCCTTTGATCAAATCACATGAACACTTATTTTCAACATGTTATACATGCTGAAAGCTTTCTCCTAAACTGCATGTACTTAAAATAAAAAGCCATATTATCATTAATCATTATAGCAATGCTCTTTTTTTATCCATCATTTTTTCTCGTATTGTAGTATTTTTCCATTGCTGGATGACATTTTATTTTTAGTGGCTGAATATTTTTATGCCAAAGCATTTGACAATATCACAGAAAGAACATTGTGTTGCATATTTTCCAATTTTTCTATTGTTTTATATTTTTTAAAGCTGTACCTTAAAGTTTTATAATTAAACACTGACGATGAAATTTAAGTTGTACCTAGTCTGCTAAACTTTACTAGATGAGTAAGCAAACAAGGAAAAAGTTATCCTTTCATGCAATAAATATTCTCTACTATTCAAGGCAATGGATTTATAGCAAATATGTTAAACATGGCAGACATAACTTACATTTTGGCGAACGGTGTTCCAGTTCTGTTTCTGGAAACTGTGAAGTTAAGCTGAACTTCTAAATGTGTACAAAATGGAACACAGGCTTTCTGCTTGTATCTGCTAAGGCTGGATGAGACTTCACTGCCCCAACCTGTGCTTTTTTATGCTTCTCCTCTCTTTTCTATGCAGCTTCAATCCTAGCTGGGTGGAGGACGTGGTATATACAAGAAACTTTTCCTCTTTTCTCAGGCTCTGCAATCAATTGTTAACAACTGCATAGAGGCTAATTTGATTCAGGCTGGTTTACACGTGCTCTGAGAGTGCAAATCAAGCACCTACGAAAATGCCAATAAAATACACCTGTGACTGGCATAGGCCCTAGGCATAACAGGATCAAGGTGTCTCTGAAAGCCAAATGTGATTGTGATTGTCTCTTCTGATGCTTGGTCCATTAGCCCACACAGCAGTGGAGTTAACCATACTCCTCATTCAGGGATATTTCTCGAGAGCACATCCTTGCCTGCTCTGATGTTGTACTAAGTACAAAGAAATACAGTTTAAAAGATATGGCCTCTGCCCACAAGTAGTTCATACTCGAACTTTGGAAACACTCATAGACAAAAAAATTGAAAACAATGCAGCATAAGCTACAAGGAAACTATTTGTTTCACAAGGTACTCTGCTTCTCCATTATATGAAGAATATAAAATAATGAACACCATGACAGAAAAGGGCTGCTTAGCTCTAGACACAAATAAGCAAAGATAATAGGAGCAAAATGTGAAAATGGGAGGAAAAAAACAAAGAGATGTCACATTCTGTACCCAGAGAGTCCATTTAGAGCAGAGATCAAGACTAAAATTTGTATGAATGCTGAACTGCCAACCTAGAGCCAAAGACCAAATGGAAGCTCAGGATGTGAAGAGCAGTGGATGGAACCTCTGAAGCACTCGACACAAAAGGAGTGGCAATAATACAACAGAGTCAGGCGGATGCATTCACATGTGCTGAATATCCACTCTGTGCCAGGAACTGTAGTAGGCACTATGCACACAAAAATCCCTGCTATTGTGGAGCTTAGGTTCTACGCTTCTGAGAGCGACAGTTCTAAAGAGATAATAAGATGGGATAATGGAAGGGAGGATGGTGACAGGTGTAAGGGTTAGATAAGGTGAAGGGTCAGACTTTAAAGTCTGTTAAGAGCATTACAGGTAGGGAGCCTTGCAAAGGTCCTAAGATAGTGACCAGCTTGGTATCTTATTGGAACAGAAAAGTGAGTGTGACTATAGCATAACCGAACAAAGGAGAAAGCTGTCCGAGAAGGTGCCCAAGACATAAGTAAGGATGGGATTACATAGAAGCTTGTAGAGAATGGGTCTGGATATTATTCTACTTGTGCTTGGTATTGATAGTGGATTTAACACAAGGAGATAAAACGTAAGACTTACACTTTAACAAATTTTCCTAGTTGCAGTCATTTGCACAAAATGCTCCCTTTTCTTTGTCAGTTTTTTTTTTACCACTTTCCATTCTAATATGTTTATTTCTTCTTGTGCATAATATATGGAGGGTGATCAAACCTACTGGCTTGCCCAATATATTCTCAGCTTATGCCTGTTGTCCTAACTTATTATTAATAGTACCCTCATTCACCCTCAAATGTGTCCTGTTAAACCAGGGGGTGCCAAACTTTTCCTGTAAAGGAACAGAAAGCACATATTTTAGATTTTGCAGGACAGACAGCAAACTTCGCCACGGTAGCAAGAAAGCAGCCAGAGACAATATGCAAATGAGTGAGCAGGCTATGTTCTGACATAACTTATTTATGAATACTAAAATAGACTTTCATATCATTTTAATGTGTCACAAAATATTATTTTTCTCTTTCTTCCATTCATTTAAAATATAAAAACCATTCTTAGCTCAAGGGTCATACAAAAAACAGGTGACTGAGTGTGGCTCTCCAGTTGTTGTTTTCTGACCACCCATTTAACCATGAATTAGATGTTGACTATTATAAGTAACATTTATTGAGGGCAAGCAATGTGCCCAGAAATCCTTACAACAAGCCTATGAGGTGCCTACTAATATTGGATGTGTTTTGCAATGAAGAAACAGAGGCATACGGAACTCTAAGAAGCTTAAGAGTGTCAGGAACTTGTCCAATGTCTCTGAACTAATAGATGGCTAAATTTGCTAGACTCATTGCTAAATAATCTCACAATATACTTTCACTCTCACGCTTCTGATGGGCATTCTTTCTTCATATAATTTTTCTAATTATTGTATATTTTTAGCCTTTCTTTCTTTCCTCATGACTCCCTCTTGCTTTTTCTATAAGCTTTTTCTCATTCTCTATAGAAATTATAACTGAGTTATATGCCTAAAACCGAAAAAAAAAAAAAAAACAAAACTTAAATGTCACATAATAAACAATGCTTTCAATTTCTACAGTCACTAAACATTTCTAGAAGTTTTCTTCAGAGTTCCTAAACACAATTATTTCCTTCATATTTCTCTAAGGAAACCTGTTTTCTCTCTAAGTACTAGCTTTCTAGGTAGAAATATAACTATTATCTAATCTCATTGTGTTCCTGTTTAAACAATCACGATTACAACTGCTGTTTTCTTTGCAGTTGTCTTGTGAGCAAATACCTAATTTTCTTTTTCCTTATATCTGTAACAAATGGTTGAGTTAAGCAAGAACTGGGTAAGTCACTCCATAATCTTAAATCTCTGATACTCTATACTCCTAGTGCATTAAACTGGGCATTTTACCACCATTTTGAGGATTTTAGGTTCTATATTTCAAACAACTCTCTTTACAAATGAAGTCCTGGAACACTGGTTGTTTTTAAATTGGGGACTTTGAGCATACTCTGCCACAATTCTTCATGGTTTTAAAGCATTTGACAAGTGTTTATTTAACAGTGGCTGTCTATTTTGATAGTACAGATGGATTAAAAAAAAAAAAAGAGGAGGGCATTTAACTCCAGGAACACTTCCACTGCTGACGCTTCTTGCCAGCAACAAGGCAGCAGTAAAGCTCAAATAGTTTATAAATGTCAGCAAAATCCTATGAACAAATTACTGCCTGAGTCATTTTTTTAGTGTCTTCTATTTCGAAAAATATATACTTTTTAATGGAGAAGGAGAAAAAGATGCCATTTGATTGCTGATATACACTACCATTTCCCACTAAATTGTTGTTAACAAATTCTTAATCAAATTGAAGCTGCGGATTTAAGTTGTGCATTCAACCAATTTCTGAAAATGTTAGGGTGGCATTAAAATCAAAGACAAATTTAAAAAGAAACATACATGTAGTTGGAGGGATGAATGAGAACAACCTGTTTGGTTCACATTAAGCTTGCAGATTTATCAACACTGGGCATGCTAGGGAAGACAGAGCTAGAGTTTATGAGCTCTCCAAAAAGATTGATTTTTACAAGTCCCTGATTTAGCTATAAAGGGTGCCTATATATTTACTTAGCAAATGGGTTAATGGATTCAACCTTTTGAAAAATGCACTTCTTTACATGCATAGAACATGATGGATGGTTAACTGAATGCACCTGGGTAAACATAGGTGAAAACAAATTAATTGGAAGGTATAGAGTTTATTGTTTATTTTTTTCTTGATAGATGGATCTCATTATTTCCCTTGGGCAGACAAAGCCATAACAGTTTCCAGAGAAAGGAGAAGTGACAGCTCCAGGAAACTCCTTACAGATGGACAGCCAGCAGGCTAAAAATATTACTTGTGTCCACCTCATCAATAAGCTGGCTCCATGAAGAGTAGCAATTATTCCTTTCCTGCTTGTGCGACCGTTTGAGAGGCATGAAGATGATTATTGATAACTCAGTATGTAGAACAAAATATATACAGTAACACAAACTCATTTACCATAGCAAATCCATATCAGAGAGCACCATTGCCTTTCATGCTATTATTTAAAGTGGCAACGTGTAGCCATTAATGTCTTAGAAGATTATGCTGATACTGTATTTTGTTACAATCCTATTAATTATTAATGATGCACATTTATTATTCACCTATATTTAGAGAGTCTGTGTTATGCACTGCAAAGAGTGGAATATTTCTGAGTTGAAGGAGGTAGGTTTGCAATTTTTCATGCATATAAATGTCACAAGAACTGGCCTTTATCTTTTTTTTTCTTTTTGGCTATATCAAAGAATATCTTTAAGTTTTTTTTGTGACAAGAATACCAAAATAAATAAAAATAAAATATTTTGTACATCAAAAACTACCAATGCTTGATAAGAGTCAGGAAGCAAGATATATAGCTTTATTATTTTTTATATGAGAAAAAAATGTAGTACCAATTACTGTGTGGAATTAAAAAAAAAAAACCTCTCTCAATTAAAGGCACTACAAAATAAATGACAGTTTCCAGGCATCAGCACAAAGCTAAAGGGATTTCAATGGCCTCATTACTTTTATTACCCTGCATTGCTCAGCCAAATCTACTGCAAGATTGTGTTTAGGCATAGGATTTGTCCTGGTACTTGCAGAAATGTGGGCAATCGATCAGCTCACCTGGAATTAAGAGAGCAGGCATGCAAAATCAGAACATAGCAAATGCTATACTTAGACAGTTATTCTGCTCTCTGGAGATAGGAGAAAAGGTATTGGCTAGAAAACAAATTAATACCAAATGAAAGACAAATTCAACCATTTTAGTTAAATCTCACCACATCTGGTCATGTAGTTTAAGGTGCTTGAACCTATTCCTATTGCCTTACCTTTTTGAATATCCCATTTTCTGGCATTTATTTCCTAAAATACATACAAATAATGCACATTTTTGTTAATTTCTGCAACTGGCAACTAGGAGAGTGATTTTTTAAAGTCAATCTAAATGGGAGAAAATGTTCCACATTGTGCTATAATTTTCTCCTGGGCTTGAAGGTCACAGTGATGAACTGTTCTGTGTTATTCTAGAGTTGCACAATTACCCAATAATCAGGAATTCCACCCAGAGCTGCCATGACTTAACTAAGGGGACCCTTGTTCCTAGTTTTCATAAATGTCTAGTCTCTGAGGACAAAAGAATGGAGTTCATCTAAAGGTAAACTGTCTTGCTGAGTTTAAAAAAGCAGTGTGTAATTAGAAAAAACAAGGAACTAAATAGCTTCCATCTAACTCTCAAATCACCTTACCATTTTTAATTTCAATCTTTAAGAGTAACAGTTTTTCAGTCTATGATAAAAGTATTATTGTTTTTCTTATTTAAAAGATCCCAGGGTACTAGTATCTGAAAAGAAAATATTACTTATTCAATACTCTCATAGAGCTATTATATTTAAAATTATGCATTCGTTTTATGCTGCCTTTTGTAATTTCATAAGAAAGCAACTAAATGCAGTGGTATTTATTTTACGGGGAAAGGATTACCAAAATCTGTGGAATTTAGAATATAAGTTGTTTATCTAACTTCCCTATGATGAAAACCCCAAAATTCTGTTCAGGAGGCAGATATTTAAAATATGAGCAATATATAAGACAATCTAGGTGATATAGTATTTGAAATACATTTTACCTGAATTTAATCAAATATGTAAATTATTCATTCTGGCTGAAACACATATCCAATAGGAAATTAACAAAGATCATTTACCTTTGAATTATATTGAAATATTCCATCCAGAAATTCTTTGGTCATTATATAAGTCAGGGTACTTTTAATCATAAGTGATAGAACCTTTGGGAAGTGTTGATTAATCTAACCAAGCCAGAGGAAGGGCAGTAACAAAGCCAAATCCCTCAAACTAGGGACCTGAATGTAGCAAGGACTCCTTCCCCACATCTTCCATCCTGTCTCCGGCAACCTGAAAGGAATGCCTAGGGGTGTATGTGTGTGTTTTTCTAGGAGTTGCCCACAATGGCTAAGGGGCCCACTCCTTCCTTTGCTGATCTCTGATCAGGAAATCAGAGTCATGCTAAGAGATAAATCTCCCATTCTGACTCTATGGCTAGAGTGAGGGGGAAGAGAGGAAGCTGGCCAATACCATGGAAGTGCTATTTCCCTAGCTTGATCATTTGTTCGAATAACATTATTGACATGTTTAATATTATTAGTCCAAGAAGATTCCAGGAATACTCTTGCAATACACTCACCAATATTTAATAGGTACTGCCTGAGTAAAACTTGTAAAATGAAATGTGTTTGCTTAGGCCCTTGGTCCAATTCTCAATGCTGTCCTGATGTCTGCTGTTATAGCCTTAGGCATATATCCTACCATTTCCAACCACTTATTTCACCTACTCTGTCCTATTTTACACTGTCAGGCTTTCTCTATCAGTGTGCCAGTGCAATGACACAGCAGAAACTCATTACTTGATCTCCCACCTTTGTTCTCTTGGTAACTTACTAAAGAGGTAATGTAAAATGAAAGAAAAACAAGCCTTTGCATCAGAAGACCTGGGACTGAAACTTATCTCCCCACCTACACCTAATTTGATTTTATCCAAATTCCAATGACTCTCACTATGACTTTTCTTTGAAGTACTGTTGTGAAGATGACATAGATAATACATATAAAATGCTTTACCAGATAGAAATATTCATTGTTTCTATTCATGCAATCAATTTATTAACTACTTTCTTCCCTTCCTTATACTCATAGACTGTACCATCTTCCAATAGTTTTAAATTTTTAATCATCAGTCTTACTGTTGTTCTCACCAGTCTCAGGGACCTTGAAATTTGTATGGGTAACAATTGTAACACAATGAACTCACCAGTCCTAGAACCTTGTAACTGTCAGACTAATCCAGATTCAAAACTTAATGATTCTTGGATATATATGTTTTTCCTCCTCAAGCCTTTTAGAAACAATCTAAAATTCTCATTCCTGCACCCATTTCAAACATTACCACAGAAAGGAGACTGTTTCCAGAAGGAAAAATTATCTAAAAATTGAGTGGACCAAATCCACTCCTTAGGAAACTAGCTCTTCTTGTGCATTAGAAACACAGAAAGGATTAAGCAGAGAGCACTGCTTAAACAAGATAAGAAAACTGCCTCTCCTTGGGGGCTGCCAGAATCATAAATTGTCTTTGACAAGGACTTTGGGAACTTAATAATGTAGTGATTCTACCTATGCCTATGGAGGTATAGCAAACAGCCTGTTGCCGAGGTTTAAGACAGGTGGTGTTTAATGCTTAGCAAATGCTGATGTCACAGACAAAGAAGAGATGTGTGATTAACAATGTATTCAATTTTTTCCTTTCAACCGTTTTCCACCTCACCTCTGGAGCTGTGAGCTTTCTCCTCTAGTTTGGCATTTTCACTTGCTTATTGTATTGTCGCACACATTGTAGGCCCCCACCCCAGATGTTAAATTTTAAGAGAGGATCAGGAAAAATAACTAACGGGTATTAGGCTGAATACCTGGGTGATGAAATAATCTGTGCAACAAACTCCCATGATGCAAGTTTGCCTATGTAACAATCCTGCACATTGACCCCTGAAATTAAAATATAAGTTAAAATATAATAATAAAATAAAATTTAAAAGTTAATTATAATTGCTTCTTACCACACCTTAGCCATTTAACTTCTTCCTCCCTCATCCACATCTCTACCCATTCCATTTTATGCCCCCTCACCTTCTCTCCATCCCGTACTCTCCCTCTCTTTTCAGTTGGCCTCCATTGGAATTTCTGAGTCTTCACTTGCTTATCCTTTTCTATTTCCTACATTCAGACCACTGGAGTAGAGATTAACCAAAAGAGTTAAACCCTGCAGATAAACATCTGTCTCACATATGCCCTCTAATACAAGACTTTTTGTCCCCTGACTTTCTTCATCCAGATGCTAACTGAAAATGACCTCTACCACTCTTTGAATACCTTTAAGTACTTGTTTTGGTAAGATAACTGAGGGTATTTGCCATATTCTGCCATCCCCCATAGTTCCTCATACAAACACCTTATTCTTTTGGTATAGCTTTTGTTGTGAAGCTTATATTGTTGTACTTTTGGACAAAAGTGTTTTACTCATTTTTTCATTTTATTCATTTCTGTAGCTTTTCTATCAGGTGGTCCTTTATACAACAACAGAGTAGTATTGAGTAGGTACAATGAAAGGCAGTTGAAACACACTTGGAAAAGAAGACTTTCTTGTAAATTCGAGGTTTGGTTAATATCATCAGGAAGAGGTTAGTGAAAATAAATGGATAATAAACATAAAACATGTCGTAAGATCAACTACAGAGTTCCACACACCCACATTACTACTTGTTCTAGCTTACCCAAGGGGGAGCTACCATCCCATAGTTGTGTATACAAATGAGCACTCACTGGTATAAGAAAAGCTTGGTTCCAATCCTTCCTACGTCTTTTATAAATTTCGTATCTCTGAAAACATCAGTAAATTATTTGAGCCTCAGATTCTTCATCTATAACATGGTCAGAGTAACACCTACTTCACAGTGTTGTTCTGAGGGTCAAATAATACGTGTGTGAAAATTCTGTAAAATTTAAAGTGTTATACCAAAATAACCATTATTAAAAGTATTGTTGATATTGCTGCATTTTCAATAAACCCTATAGAGAAATGGACTATAACCTACCACCTAGTCCAGGAGTCTGCTTCTTGGCCCCTCCCAGGCAGTCTGTAGGAGGTACTAGTGATTAATTGTCACATGGCACTTTTGACTACTTTGAGTTTCCTCCTTTAGTGGCACCACTTCCATCTACCCTCTATTCTTGAAACCGATAAGAAGCAAAATTCTTAGATAAACTTTTATCTGCTTTTGGCCTTTTATTGGGTACCACTAACCCAATGCTTCTAGAGAGACCAAGGATAACATCATTCTATGCCCCTTTGATGAACTTCACCAATTCAATGAAATTATTTTGACTCCATTCATTGCATCTCATCTTGTAACTTGGCACTGCAAACTCTACATCCTTCCCTATGATAATTTAATGGAATAAGAAAGAAGGTAATTGGCTTGTTAAAAGGAAGGGGAACATCACACCCCGGGGCCTGTTGTGGGGTCGGGGGAGCGGGGAGGGATAGCATTAGGAGATATACCTAATGTAAATGACGAGTTAATGGGTGCAGCACACCAACATGGCACATTTATACATATGTAACAAACCTGCACGTTGTGTACATGTACCCTAAAACTTAAAGTATAATTTAAAAAAACAAAAATAAATGGCCACTGGTAACATCATAAAATGCTATATCTCAATGGCATTTATGAGTCACTATTATTAAAAAATTGTTCTTTCTGAACTCTCATGTAACTGTCTTTGAAGTCAGTAATAATCATTTTAACACAATGCTTCGTTCCCTTTCTCCAAAAAGCTCTAAGCACCTGGGAGACATTATCTAATTAATCCTAATGCATGCAGAGAGGCTCTAAGGGGAAGTTTAAGAACACAAAAAATGTCTATAAAGTTCACCATGACTATCATTAAAATATTGTCTGTTCAAATGCAAGTACAAAACACAAGGCTTTAGCCACAGGAATTCACTTAAAATAATTTAAATAGTTTATAAAATAAAATGGATTTCTATTCACAACTGTTATATGCTATAAATTGAACCTGTTAAAAGATTACTTCAAAGGTGTATCCTTGATATTCAAGCTAGTTTTGAATCACATGTATTTTTCTTTCCCTTTGAAAAACAAAAGGAATAAAGAATAAGCATTTGAAGATCTTAATCATCTGCCAAATTCCCAAATCACTCATTGATTCAATAGGTACGATTGATTCTACTCAGTCCTGGTTCTAATTTTTAGAGTTTGTGTCATTTGAAAAACTCAAGTTTTTGGAAAATAGAAAAAAATAAAATGCTTTCAACTGAATTACATTGTTGGATTGAAGTAAACAAACAGTCCCTACCTAAACTAAGGAATAAAGGTGATCACAATAAATAAATAAATTTAGCTTTTCTTTTTTGTGCTGCGGGCAAGTGCACAAACTGACCGTACTGTAGCTTAGTTACCACATGGATTGGGGTAAGTCGGGATATATAACACCAAATGAACTTCATTTGCCAATCTTTTTGTACAATAGAGTTATACAAGGAAAACCACTGAGCCCCAAGCCAGGCTGAAGGGAGCTTCTGACCCAGCTTTCTCAGTAATGTAGTGAATATATTAAGACTTGGGAGGAGCAATGCAGGTAATGAACCTGTGTATTATACAACTGAAGGATGTGACACAGGTTCTACTCTTTCATCTCACTGAAGGCAAGATTATATATTTTACTTCTTCTGTAGATACCACCTCCAACGCTTTGACCAGTCAGACTAAGTGAAATGCCCTTATTGTATACTTCATTAGTAAAATACTACCAAAGACTCACTATCCTAATAATGACTGCCTCAATGCATGTGAGTGCCCTATAAAACTATAAACTTCATGGGGTCAAGGTAAACATTTCACTATTCAGTTCCCAATTGGCTCATTATTTGCCACTATATTGATAGTAGCTCCCCCATATGCAAGAGGGATGTGTTTTAAGACCCACAGTGGATGCCTTAAATCTCAAATAATACAAACCCCATATATACTACACGCAAATTTCTTTATCCCTATTCACAATTTCATGGATAGGTTTGTTCTTACCATAGATCTTAGAAAACTCGGCATATGTTTTTTTTAACTTATTAAGTCAAGAACTTTGACCTTTTTACTTAAAGGAAACACTTTCTGACTTGTCTTTGGCACGTCCAAACTGCTGGTATCACTACTCTTGCACTCTGGGGCCATTATAAGTCAAATGGACCTTTATTTGGGTGCAAGAGTACTTGCACCTGCACTCCAATGCCATGACAGTTGATCCTTGAGCAGCGACTATGTGGCTAATGGGCAGGTAGTGAGTCTTCAGTGTAGACATGCTGGACAAAGGGAGGATTCATGTTCCAGGTGGGATGGAGTGGAATGGTGTGAGATTTTATCATGCTACTTAGAATGAGGCACAATTTAAAACATATCAAGTGTTTATTTTTAAAACGTTCCATTTACTATTTACAGACTGTGGTTGACTACAGGTAACTGAAATCACAGAAAGTAAAACTGCACATAACAGGGGACTGCTGTAATTCATCGTGGACCGAGTGATAAATGGGTACTTTGATGGACAGACAAAGTAGCTACATTTGTTGACTTTGCCTTCAGGTTCTCTTCATAAACCCGGGGGAGCTCTAAACATCTGGAAGAGATCTGGATGATATACACAGGCAGGGTCACAGAAGCTTTTAGGACCCTTCATTGCATCTTAGAGTATATATTTGGGAATGTTTCCATACATTGTTTTCAGTCCAGAATGCATAAAGTCCTACTTTTCATAATCATTTAGTATTTATTTTTATCACTTAGTATATGCTAGAAACAAGGCTAAGCCATGTGTGAAAAAACATATGACTCAAAAAAACCTACGTGTAAAATTCCTTCCTTGTAATTTTAAATATTGGAATTTCCACATTTGAGAAAATAAATACAGAGAATTGATGCAAAAATTGCCAAGGATATGACAACATAGAAATCAATGTTGACTATAATAAACTGAGCTTTAAAACTTATGTGATCTTATAAATAATACATCTAGAGTCTAAACAATAAGCACTACAGAAAGTATGTTTTCAAACTGATTCTACGTACTCTCTTTAAGAACATTTGATAAACTCATATCATAAGCCATGTTTAATTTATTAAATGTTCCAGCCTTTAATGATCAATAGAGACCCAAAAAGACCTAATACGACTGAGCCATGCACTTAAGAAAATTACTGTGACAGCAGTAAGCAATTTTTCTGTGCATCTCCCGAAAATATTGCTTTTTTTACTTTGTTTACTTTTCTGTTGACAGGTGAAATTTCCAATAATTATTTATTTCAAAATGAAAATTGCTTTCAATCAATTGATAAACATCACAGAAATATCCCCAAGAATTTAAATCCTGGAAGGCATTTTAGTCTCTTGCACATTTTCAAAGTAACTGTCAGTCTTGTGTAGATGCTGGCATATTCTCCTCTATTGGAAGAAAAGATTGATCAGTCAGGAAGGAATGTTTACTGATACTATTTCAACAGTAGTCATTAAAGAAAATTCTTCCTGAAATAGTTAAATCTTTCTTATTCTTTTAATATCAGCGATATAAAATCCTGCTTAATTGTGCACACACAAAGCATGTGATCTCCAGGGCTCTCCTTGCCTTTCTTCTTATTTATTATATTCATGAAACCATCTCAGCCACCCTAATATTAATAGGTTCTTCTATCCACCCATATAATGATTACTTCAGTGCTGTAACTCTGATCCAGATCTCTTCTCCTTTTCTGTATAATTCTTTGTAAAAGCCCCAAAATAGCTTGATCCTTGCATTTAGAGTGTAGCTTAATATTATTTGCATATCTTGGGATATATCCCTCTTCAGGAGCAACCAGAGGAAAGCATCCAATGAGGGGCAGTGTGCAAGGGCTCAGCAGGATGGGAGGAGCAGAAGAGGCACCAGAAGCCATCAAGGCAAGCATGTTGGAAAGTCTGATGTTTAATCCCACAGAAATATAAAACATGCCAAAGACTAAAATAATATAATTGATAACTGATATCCATGTTCACATCTGAGAGTGTTCAAATACATATGAAGCACAATGTTCAGTCCAGCTGGACCTAGTTAGTATTTGATTCATAGGCCTGGGACCCTGAGAGCTGGGTGAGATTTTTTCAGGTGTGCCAAAATGAGAAATAACACACCTTCCTAGGCAAGCCACTGCTTTGATTATTTATACAGCAATAAAATGAATATTGCTGGATGCCAAGAGATGGATTGATGAAAGGTCTTCACTCTCTCTTCATCACTGTTAAATCCAGTGCCAAGAATTAGCCTGGTATTGCACACACTGCTCCTGCCCTCTGCTTAAAGAAGGTATCTGTCACTATCCAAAATATCCTGGGTGCCAGAGCTGATACTACTCACTGAGTCTTTGGAGGTGGATGACAAATGCATTGCCTGAATTTACAGCACAGGCTCTGAAAAGGCACAGCCTAATAGCCGGGGAGGAAGCCCTATCTATCTCCTATGTTGCTTTCCTTTGTGTGTTAGTGTAGGGTCCATGACAACATTCTTACCTCATTAAGATCATGCAGTTTGCTATTTAACTATATATATATAGAGAGAGAGAGAGAAAGTAAATTTCCCTCACTTTATTCTACTCTATATTTTACTGTCCTTGCATTTTATAGACATACGAAAACCATACAACTTGTACTGACTTTCAACAAAAGACTAATACATGAGATTTGCAGATTACCTAAATAGTTATTTGTGGCAAATACAACCTGTTTTTAGGAAAGGGCCAAGATCTGAGAGGCTCCAGATTGGACAATGCAGTCAAAGTTCATTGAAACTGTGTCATATGGCAAACCCAAAGACCTTCCACCTCACAAATTATACTTATGTGAGAGTCTTCCAGGACAGTAAAGTAATTGGATTGTAAAGGGTTAACAAAAAAGTATATCATAAGGAAATGGAAGCAGTACAGATAGTGACCTTTTGCCCCAAACCTAAGATTGGGCACATGAACTCTGGTCTGACATGCTGAATGAGCTTTCTACAAAACAGCGAAGGCATTTTTGATAGCTTAAGATATCCTCTTACCAAAAACCAAAAACTCAAGTCCTCAGTCAAATTGTAGACCATTTTCTCATTCCAATATACTTTCCTGGATTTAGAAATTGCATTCTGGCATAGATTAGAAAAGTTATATTTCTTTGTGATTTTCATTCTCCAGTTCTATGGTGTTCATCATGATGTACACCATAGAACTCCTACTGTACTCCTTGGCAGCTTTTCAGCAAGCATGTCAGAGATCAGATGTAGAGCCCACTCATCAGATGGAGAAGACCCTAGAACTCAATGTCTGCATTCTCATACTCAGGTAGCAGAATCTTCTCTCATTGTGTCACACTTGCAGACCAAACTATAACAAACAATATACAAAAACAAGTGTGTAAGATCAACTCTTTATTGCTTAATTCAAATTCTGTTCCACTGAAACCTGCTATACTAAGAAATGTTAAAAAGGCTTATACAGAATCAAGAAGGGTCAAGTGGTTCAAAAGAGTTTGGGAAACTCTGGGTTAAGCAAAGTTAAATAAGTTTATTTATCGGTGAATGTTAAAGGAACTAATGTGCACTGTGATTCTCCAATTGGTAATGGTATTTAGTATTTACAGAATTTGTTTAATTATGGAATCCTTTTTTAGTGGAACACTAGTGTTCCAGGAATACGGTATGTGAAATTGTATCATTTCCCCCAAGGACTCAGAAAATGGATTGACTTAAACTAGGTAGGATCATTTTTCTTTTAAATCACTTCAAAAAGAAAGGTATTATTTATATAGTAGCATACTGCATATATATGTAAAAAGACTGAGTAGTTTTTAAGATAATAACTTCACTCCAACAGATATAAACCCACAATGGCCAATTTCATTAAAGCTACTATTGAATTCAAATTCCTGAAAACCTATGGAAAAAAAAAGATAATGTGTAATACATTGTTCTCTTCCCTCTTTTGAACTTGGGAGTTATTATTAGAATGCCTGCTAATTAGTTAATTTATTCTGTACTTCGTGGCTAAGCCAGAGGCTCACAAAAGACTTACAAGTTTTAATTTCTAGACAGACCCAATTCTTAAATCAAGTTTGTGAATTTCATAATTATTTCAATTTAAACTCAAACATGCCCCTCTAGTAATGTATGAAAAGATTATTAAGCTATTAAGTTAAACATTGGATATTTACTGAAAGGGCCAGAGATTGATACGGATTACTGTTAGTAACCTTTTAAAGCCATAATGTATCAATTTCAAATTATAGAACATGGTTTAAGTGTCATTTATACATTAGAATAAACTGAAACACATAATCACCGTCTCCATGAATCACCATTTAGTTTCATTTCTAATCTTTCAATGCAGACAAAGGTTACTAGGCTACAGACCTTGTTTGCTATTTGATGAGCATTAAGTGCTTAATTTTGAGGATTTCACTGATCTTTCATACAAGGGCAGACACAAATTGTTTTCTAAACAAGAGAAGACAAACTGCATTTACAACCACATTTGTGAATATTTCCTCTAAGAATGTGTTTAATATTAATTGGAAGTGTAAAACAGACCAGTTCTTATCTCTTTCTATCGCACTATATAATTTTCATAACACCTTTCCATTTTTCCATGGCAAGAGGACATGCATTCTTTCATTCATTCCCTAATCCATTCAACCAGTATTTATTCAGCTCCAATGACATAAAAGAGATTATAACAGATCAGTGAAGAAAAAAATGCATCAACATCATACATTAGAATATATAAATCTTGCAGACCAGTAGTTTCATATATATATGCATGGTTTTGATGCATTCTATATATATATTAGAATATATTGATATATATTTTAGCCAGATAGTTTTGACGTATAAAGAAATAACTCTATATAAAGGTGAATAATGCCATGAAAAAGAGAACTTTGTTAAGGAAGAGATAGGTTTCAAATGAGCTCACAAAATTATCTCAGCTGAATAATTCCAAGCACAAAGGCAAAGCTTCTACTCTTCCAAAATATCAGAAAACGCAGTTTTGGGTGCCTGTGGGAGTCAAACTGTGCTAAAAAGTAAAAGACTTACTTATTTTCCTTATAGTGACTATGTCTCCTAAACTTTAACTCTACTATTAAAAAGAAGTTTTCTGATTTTATTTCTCTATTGCAAGTAAGAAAATTCCAAGCTCAACATCTTTCAATGATAATTTGAGGATGTTGCAGAAAACACTGATAACTGATCTGCACTCAGAAGAAAGGTTAGTAGTCTGCCAAAGCAATTGACCTGCAAAGCAGAAGGTCAAAAATACCATTTAAACTCTGTCTAGGCGAATGGCCTTGTTTAACACAGAGGGAATGCTGAAAGAGCACTGAAAGGGCTCTACAGGGGCCTGGGGCTCAACAGTGTACATTGAATCACAACAGTCTATGCATCAGACACAACCATGAGATGAATGGCTATAGTCCTCAGAAGAAACTTCCAGTCTTTGGGACTGGTCCCTCCACAGTTCTATATGCAAAGAAATGTCCATATCTCAGTAGTAGTAGTTACTGAGGGGAGAACTACTTCATAGGGTAGTCCCTGATCATCCTGAAGTAAACTGGACATTTTCTGAGATGGGAGAGCGATGAGAGTCTAGTTCAGAATAACACCAACCCAAAGTCTGTGGAAAACATTCCACAGTTTTTATATATGGAGGATTTTACTCCCGTCTTTGCAGAAGGCTTAGAACTTTGCCTAGGGTGGAAAATTACCTTTGTTTTGGTCCTAAAACTAATTTTATTATTAATGGTAACCATTAAAAAATACTTGGACCATCTTATAAAATCCTACTACATAATAATGGTGAGTGGAGAAGTCCTAGAGATTATTAGCCTCTTCCTTTGCAATGTAAAATACTATTAAGTAATTTTCTAAAGTTTACAGTAGCTGAAAAAGGATCTAAAGCAGCTTCTCTTGACTGCCAATCTGTCTCTTTCCATCATACCCTGCTCACTCGCCTAAGTCAATGTTTTAGGTCTGGAATACTTGTCTACATGATAATGAACAGATAACTAATACATAGTTCCTACCTTTTGCAATACACTATGGTTTGTCTTACTTTCCGTTCACCAGGGAAGTCAGTGTTTAATAATGTGTATGATCCATTGTTGTGCAACATCCCAAATGCATAGTGTATTCAAGTGAAGAACACTTCATTCCTTCTTAGTCCTCAGTGCCTGCCACAGTGTGCTGTACATGAGATATGTTCAAAATAGATTTGAGAGTTGAGCATTCTAGGAATGTAAGACAATCTGCTAAAATCCTCTTCAAACTCCATAATCTTTAAAAGCCATGATTCTAAAAACATATGATCTTAGCTACCATCTGGTTGTTTGGTCTGACAGGTGTTTTGGCAAGTTCTGTTTTAAGAAGTATTATTTTAAATATTCTCAAAATGAATATTGTCTGCCAAAATGCTATAGGACACCTTGTTTATTGTGAGTTTATATGCAAAGTTTGATTTGTTTTACCTTTTTAAGGCAGCTTTGATATCTATAAAAGGTAAAACTTTTAGATTAGCCACTGTCATATAGGGTAGGACTTAGATGGTGGACAATCTGAGAACGTTTTAGCACTCCTGTAAATAAATATCCTTAAGAAATTTGTCTAATATTTATTTATTTTTATTATTATGTTTTCTTGAGACAGAGTTTCACTCTGTCATACAGTCTGGAGTGCAATGGTGCGATCTCAGCTCACTGCAACCTCTGCCTCCTAGACTCCTGAGTAGTCTAGGATTAAAGGCACCCGCCACCATGCCTAGCTAATTTTGTATTTTTAGTAGAGACAAGGTTTTGCCATGTTGGCCATGCTGGTCTCAAACTCCTGACCTCAAATGATCCGCCCACCTCGGCCTCCCAAATTGCTGGGATTACATGTGTGAACCTGCCCCCAGCCTGAGAAATCTGCCTAACATTTATTAGGAATAAGAGAAAAACAGATATTTTCTATTAAAATATTGTTTAGTTCTCCATCAAAATAAGCAAATTATTACACATATTAAATATGTCAATGCAAGTTATTTTATTTGAAATTAACTTCATTCACAGGCTTTTTCCATTTGTCCTAACATTCATCCTAATATGAAAAATTCCTGTTACAAAGGAAAAACCTAATTTACATGAACGTAAATACAAAAATCATTTTCTAGCTTTCACTGGGACACTCTAGGTGTTTCGGTTCACTTTTAAACTTTATTCTGATTCTCCAAGTTTCTTAAAATTTTAGAAATATAGGAAATTGAGCATACTATTTATTCCTGTTAACTAGCTCTATACCATGCATTCATTTGGTGTCAAGATTTCTGTGGGCAAAACTGCCAGTTTCAGCTTCATACATGATTTCAGGTCTTAGAATAAGTTTAAGGTCTGTATTTGCACCACAAAATTTGCAGGCATGGGCAGGTAGTAAATATACTCTTGCAGTTTGTGGGTTTTTTCCCCCACGAGTAAAGTGAATATTGAAGCCAATTTATATTTGCCAAATTCTGTAAGGAGTAGAATAAGGAAATGATCTTCTAAATAATGCAATAATATTTGGAAGCCCTTGGCAGCTACTGGCTGGACCACCCATTAATATGGTTATGTTGCCATGTGCTCTAGAGCTTCAGGAACCATTTGTCAGTCTGGAGGGGTATAAGTACCACTGACAAGGGCCATACTTTTAAGTTTTTCTGAACATGATGCTTCTTTATGTTCTGGCTTCAAACACTATGGCAACAATTAGGTGAGAAGTGACTGTGCTATCAAGCACATAAGCCGAAGCACAAGAATAGTTTGAGGGGCAGGTGGAGTTTCATTTAACAAAAACATTGGTCCACTATTATTAAGACACAATTTGAAGTCAGACTTTTCTTTCCGTGGTAAGTCCGAGGTAATCAAAATCATTCTCTTCAATGTCATTGTGGGATTCTCAGACATTCAGATGGTGAAAACAAAGAAATAATTTCATTTATTCCATTATATTTAGAGTTTAGAAGTAGCAAGAAACACTATATCAGTTTGTCCCCCTAAGGAAAGGCATGGACACCTTGTTTCTTCTTGCAAATGATTTAAGCAACTAAGATTTCAGAACCAATTTTCAGAAAACAAATTTCATCAGGAAAATCTTATCAATGAGTAGCTATTGATTAGGTTAAAATTGAACTTAGTTTCATCAAATAATTTTTAACAGCATTACAATTCAGTGATTTTGTATTCATTCCAATTTACAATATTATGAAAGTGAACAAATTCATAAACTGTTTTTTTCCCTTTTTATTTGCTCTATCCACATATCTAAAAGCCAACATTTCTACTTTATTAATAGCAACAAAAATGTTATTTTATGTTATTCAGTGTAACTACAGCAAAACAGTAGTAAAATAAACAAACTCAAGCCACAAATACAGGGATTTTCGACCTCTGATTGTAATAAAATCTGACTTTATTTTAGCTAGCATGAGACTAATATATTTAAAATAATGTTTGTAATGCAAAGCAGGAAATCAGTGCTAAAAAACTGAATAATAACAAATAAAAATATCAATAGCATTAAATTAACTAAATGTAAGTATTTGCATTTAGTTTGAACAAACTCAATTTGGCCTTACGTTTTCAGAATTTCTGCCTCTCCAACACAGTTTTAAAAGGCAGAAGTCTCCTTTACTGCTTCTGTTACTACAGTTATAAGGCAGCAATGTCCTCACAATTGTATGAGATGATGTGCGGATAATGATCATTAAAAGCATGCTCCATTCAGTTGATAATGTTTACAGGAGTGATGCTTCCCCTTATGAACCAAAGGCTAAAGAAAGCTCAATAGATATTGCAATAACCATAAAGTAGAGGATGCTCTCATAACAATTATGGCTCAATCATAAGTATTTTCACATGACTTCCTAAAATGTGGTCTTATTAAAGCACAATTACAAATTACTCTCCCAATTTCTGAACTATACAAATAAATAAAAATGTACAAAAATAGCAAACTGGGAATGAGTCCTTCAATAGTTGTACAACATAGAGTGTAAGACCCTGAAAACCGGAATGAGGCTCTGTTCACCTCTGCCACTCATTGAACTCTATGAACTAGGACAGAGGTTTAACTATTATCATTATGACTAATACTTCCTGTGGTAATGACTTACTACTTTTCATGTCACTGAAATAAGTACCACTTTCATTCCCTTTTTATATATGGGAAGACTGAGATCAAAGATGTTAAGTAACTTGTTCGTGGTAACACAGCTTTAAGAATTTGAATGCAAGAAGAGCCACATGCATATATAGGAAGTCCCAGAGTTCTTACCTGAAAACACCTATATCATAGTTATCTGGTGTTCATTCCATAATATCATCAAGCAAAGGCTTAGCACATAACTTGATGGTTGATAAATACTTAGTAAATGGTTGCTAATAATAATAAATAATAACAAACCAGGAACTAATAAAAACAACAAAAATTAAAATGTCTTCAAAATAGTCATATCTGAGGTAATTATGACAAAGAGGAAATAGAATACTACAATCTAAAAACCTATAAGCTATGACTAAAGCAGTATTCAGAAGAAAATTTATAGCTTCAGACATACTTAATACACAAATAAGAATGAAAATAACTATATAATGTATTCAACTTGGGAATTTTAAAAAGAACTGCAAAATGAAACCTCAGGAAAACAGAAGAAAGACACAAGATAAAACCTGGGAATAAAGAATTAAGAAAACTATAACAAAATCTTACATAAATATTTATAAAATTCCTAAATAAAATATTAGCAAATACAATTGCACAACGTATGAAAATAATAAAATATGTCTAAGTGAAGCTCATTTTGAAAATTTAAGGCTCACTCCCCTTCAGGAAATCTGTAAATAAATGACATGTTTTAATAGGTCAACTCTAGCTAGGTCTGGATAAGAAAAAGAAACAAACCACTTGTAATAAATAACAGCCATTGATTACTGAATCCAGATTATCAGCACACACTTGTTCTGTGTTAAGTGTTGAGGGTGGTGAGGGTGGGAATGGAGGTGCATGTAGGTGTATGTTAAAACAAAAGCTAGAAGCATGCTTTGTGAATAAGAAGCATTCTTGTTAAAGTAAAGATGTCCACTATTAATTATTACAGTTATTTTGGAACCAATAGTCACCGCAACCAGTCAATAGAGAGAAATCTAAGTAAAGATAATTAAAAGAAAAAGATGAAATTATCTTTTTGTAGGAAGTTTAGGTAAAAATAAAGCCTAAGATAAACAATAAAAATATATTTTTAGACTAACATAATACCAGCAAAGGGCAAATTTTATAATTAATATATAAAAATCATTCATTTCCCTAAACAAGACATGAATTGCCTATTGTTAAAATTAAATGCCCAATTTTTGAAAGGCAGTCAATAGATATTCACTGAATAAATAAGTAAACGATTGAATATAAGCAAAAACAATACATGTCAATTAATGATAGCAACTCAAAACAAAATAATGTAGAATTAAGAAATTTCTGTAGTCTACATGAAGATGTAAAATAATAACTGAATTACAAAATTCAAAGTTATAAATATATACAACATAAATACATAGACATATATATAAATATATATAACGCATTTGCAGTAATCAAACAGAAATTGTTTATTTTGTAATTCTAAAAACACTTGAAATAAGCCATGATATTTGAAAAGAGGATTGCTGAGGGCTACATGCCCTATCATATATTAACTCATATAATAAAACTGTGATCCTGGCCTTCAATATGTATTGACCTATATATAATGTTATTTCTCAGAGTTGGTATTTCTTCTTCTTATTTTTAAAAATTTTATTGGTAACATTAATATTTAGCAACCTTGTGTGTATTTGTAAAATAAGCATGTGCCAATTAGGTAAATACTATAAAACTTTTTTTAAAACAGATGTTAAAAAGATCCTATGTAAGAATGTCCTTTTTATATGAGAAAAACATCATACATATGAGAATTAAAAGGCTCCTGATAATTAACCATGACCATGAAAACTTGTCTGAAAGAGAACTTTGATTTAAAATTGTCAGAGTTATCAGAGATTCCTGAGGGAGAGAAGACACTGCTGGTTAAACACCCTCGTTCTGGTACAGCAATTTATAAAATATTGAACTGTTCTGTGAAATTGCTTTTGATAACAGTGGAAACAGTACTAACAAAGGTGCCAAGTTCTGATGTAAACACATATTAAAATGAAACTTCTTGGGTATATTTCATTAAAGTTATATATTACAAAAATTGGTTTTGAATCTATTCTTGTTTGAGCCAGTTATGATATAGAAACTATAAGCTAAATTCGGAGTAGGTGATTGTGTAATTATATGTGCCAAAACTTAGATACAGTCTTTCCTAGGTCTCATATTTTTTTCTAATAATATGCAGTTTAAATGTCCAGTTCCAGGTGGATGCTGGAGCCCACAATAATCAACAATCAAGTGAAAATAAAACTTTTCACATAGGCCGGACATAGTGGCTCACGCCTGTAATCCCAGCACTTTGGGAGGCTGAGGCAGGTGGATGACAAGGTCAGGAGTTCAAGACCAGCCTGACCAACATGGTGAAACCCTGTCTCTACTAAAAATACAGAAATTATCCGGGCCTGGTGGTGGGTGTCTGTAATCCCAGATACGCAGGAGGCTGAGGCAGGAGAATCACTTGAACCCTGGAGGCAGAGGTTGCAGTGAGCATCCAGCCTGGGTGACAGAGTGAGACTCAAAAAAAAAAAAACTTTTCACATCAGTTGAATTGCAGACCATATCACTAAATCACGCACCATATTTTAGCCTCCTCTAAATTAGTGTGAATTTTGTGGTCATGTTAGTTGATTTGAATATTATACTGAGAAGGGATCTCTCATTTTTACTATCCTCGATTCCAGCAAGCCTGTGTCCCTTCAGGGGATACACTAGCCCAAGGCTCAGCCCTCACCAGACAACTTACGGAATTCATATGACCCTTACTTTAACAAAGCAGCTCTACTTTAATGTTTATCCATTCAATCTTGCTGTCGCTAACTTCTAAATTTTGCCCAATCATGGGCCTTTCCTTCAGCGTCAAACTTGTTGAACATAGGCTTTCACCTGGTACTTCCATTTCTTATACTACCTTTCCGCTTTCAACCCTTTGAAGTTGACTGTTGCTCCCATCATTCTATGGAATTTACCTGTTCTATCATAATCTCAGAAAATTATAGAATTTCAAGGATCCATAGCTATTGTAGCCTTCAGATAAATATTAGCGACTGGCCTTTGGAATTCCGTAACTGTAGTCTTCGGACAAATGTTATTATAACATGGCACCCAAGGGTCAACAAAGCCTCCAAGAAAGATTATGTCATTTCCAAATCTGTCTCAAGAGGCTCTTTGATGTATTGGGAAGACAATACTGACTTAATCCAATTTGATTCCATGACCGAATTTAATTTGTTAGAATTTTTTTAAAATGAGACAACTTATTAAAAATCTACAAATAGCACATGTTTTTCAGGAACCAATAACTGAAGACTCTGACAGAAAAAAATGACATATGGGAAATATGAAAATAAGTTTCACTGGTGCTAATTTATGACATTCAAGAAGAGAAAGATTATTGATATAAAATTATCACTGGTATCTAATTAGTGTCCAAGTCTTTCCATGTCAGATGTCATTAAAAGAACCAAAGATACAGCTTCCTTCTTTAGGTAGTAACACAGTATGGCAAAAAACATTTCCAAATCTTCTAAATTTTATGAATCTACTTATTTCATGTTGTATTTCTTCCTGCCATTAATTTCTGTGTGACTCTCTGATCGGTTTTCCTTCTTGGAAGTGATCACTTCCTCTTTTACCACATTGTGAGCACTCGCCTCTCTGCCTGACAATGGGAGAAAGAATTAACCAGCACAGGTAAGCAGACCTGCAGTAGGTGAGGGAGTGCATTCTAGTTTGAAAGGACTAGACACAGGCTTGTCAGTTCTAACCTGACTAGTGTTCTCTCGGGAATACTGAGTTGCAAGATAAGAACGAAGCTTTGATAAACCAAATACACTTTGATAGAATATCAACTGAATTTAGTACCAAAGAGCAACATTTTTAAGGTTCTAAATTTTAGCTGGAGGCTGAGGGAATACCAGAAGGAAAATAAATGAAAGCTGCTTGCCACTTCAAAAGCTAATCTTTGTAATGCTTTCATTAGCAGTTTTTAAAAAAACACATACACACTTCTGAAGTAGAAAAGAAATGATTTTGAGGACTGATTCCTATAGGGTATAGTTTGACTTCCCAGTCTCTCAAAAATGGGCAAGGTCAGGAATTTCTTTTATGGCTGTTGGGACTGTAAAATATTTTGTTTGTAAAGGAACTTAAAATAGACACACGAGAGAGATTAGCTGATGAACTCTTTGTTTAGTTCCCTCAATAAAAGATAAGTATCCGTTATATTTAGAGTGAAAGAGGAGATGAAAGATTCTTGGTTCTAAAGATACTATCCCCTTAGGCTGGATGGAAAGGAACTTTTTCACTTTTAAATAAACACAGTATAAAAATATTTTGACTAGACCATAAGGAAATTACAATGGAAATGGCAACCAGAAGAACCCAGTCTCCCTGAAATTTCAGCAAGGTGGTTAGGGGATGAAAACAAGTTAAAAATACTGTTAGCTGAATCTAACAAAGGAAAATATTTGTGTTTCAAACCAAAATACATAACTCAAATGCCACACAAGTTTGTAAACAGTAAATTAGGTAAAAGGCAAGTTCATGTCCTCGACAACCATACTCTAAGATTTTTTACCTGAAAATCTGGCGTGGAGAAAAGTCCTGCCTGCCAGACACAATGTGGGTTTTGCGGCTATGAAATCAATGGTAATATGGATATAACATGTGGGTTGAGGCATAACAGAGAATTCCTAATTATACAGTACCCACATGGTGTGAATCTTAAGGAAGAAACAATATCCATTACTTATTCTTTTAATACCAAATGATTCTAAACTGAGTTTATGTTATCACAATGGCATGCTTTTCAAAACAGTTGTCATTTTCCCTTGAATATTATTATCAAATACTCCTGCCTGGTGAGGTTCTTGGGACACTTGACCTGCCCTTTCTGCCATCACCGGGGAACTCCACACATTTATTCCCAACTCATAAGCAGTACTAAGGTACAGTGACAGTGTCTTTAATTTCTTGCACACAAACAATGTAAAAGAAAAATGTTTTAATATTACTTTGAAACACGGCAGGGTTTGAACGGTGGCAAGAGGGATGTGAGACATTTTGAGCAGAAGTAGAGTGAATTAATCACATAGTTGGGAATGATGATAAAAACAATGGCTAGAAGTTACTAAGCACTTTTGTGTGCCCATCACTTTTATTTAGACCAAGTCATAGATAAAATAAAGGGACATAATAGAACTTGCACAGAAACTCATAGCAAGCAAGTGGAGTGGCTGGGAAATAAGTTTATCTGAAGAAAGCAAGCAGTTGGAAACTACAGGAGATTAGCTGGGAATGATTTCGGGGGAAACTAATGCAGGGTCCTGAATTCCAGGATCAGATGAGGATAATACTTTTATTTTAGAAGTTTAATTAAAGAGACATTGAAGGCTTGCTTAAGCAGGCTGAGGAAAAAGGTATTCTTCTGGATAAATTTGTCATATCCATAAAATGTGCTCTAATTTACAGTTAAGGTTTATTAGCTTATGGGCAATGATGTTAGAGCACAATTTAAGCATTCAACTATTTATGGCCAGATTATTGGTTTTATGTTGGAAAACTCAAATACTAATTTATGAACAAGCATTTTATAGCCTTCTCCCATTTTAGGATTCCTTAGCATCTCTTGAAGGGGATGCTCAATTTCTGTATTTTCTTGCATTTCTGTATACTAAAATAATTATACATATTTGCAATCGAAGCATATTAGACATTTTTTCTTGTACTTGTAGTTACTATATGAGGTCCAGTCATGCTATCCGAAAGTCAGTTTGTCTCAGAGAAAGTAAGTTGGAAATGGACTCTCCCAAGCCTCCTTCTAAACAAGTGGTTAGAAAAAAGGGTAACAAACTATCAAAAGACAGACAAGTGGCCAAAAATCATGAAAAAATGCTCAACATCACTAATCTTCAGAGAAATATAAATTAAAACCACAATGAGATAAAGTCTCACAGCAGTCAGAATGTCTATTATTAAAAAGTCAAAACATAACAGGTGTTGGTGAGGATGTGAAAAAAATGGGGCACTTTTACACTGTTGGAGGGAATGTAAATTAGTTCAACTCCTTTGGAAACCACTATGGATACTTCTCAAAGAACTAAAAACAGAACTACCATTAGACCTAGCAATCTCACTACTGGGTATCTACTCAAAGGAAAAGAAGTAATTCTATCAAAAAGACATCTGCATTTGTGAGTGTATTGCAGGGCTATTCACAACAGCAAAGACATGGAATCAACCTATGTGCCCATTAATGGTAGACTGAATTTTAAAAATGTGATTCATATACACCATAGAATATTACAAAGCCATAAAAATAATGAAATCATGTCTTTTGTAGCAACATGGATGGACCCAGAGGTCATTATCCTAAGTGAATTATCACTGAAGCAGAAAATCAAATACCACATGTTCTCACTTATAAGTGGAAGCTAAACAATGGGTGCACATGGAAACAATAGACATGGAGGACTCCATAAGAGGGAGGGAGGGAGAAGGGCAAGAGTTGAAAAACTGTTAATACCTATTGGGTACTATGTTTACCCAGTGATGAATTCAATAGAAGTCGAAGCCCCAGCATTACATGGTGCACCCTTGTAACAAACCTGCGCATGTACCCCCTAAATCTAAAATGAAAATAAAGAAAAATAAAAAAGAAACACAGGTTATACAAATGTGAATGTGGCTAACACAAACCCTCAAAACAGCTGAAAAGTTCATCACTATATGATACAGGCTCAGTAATATTATTATAAAAATGAATGAATAAAACATGCTGTTATCAAAGCACAAATTTCAAACTTTAATTGTGAACATGTACTCTCCTTTTGGACTGTAAGGATATTCTACACCTACAGAAAATATTTTTATTACTACTAAGCCAACAGAGAGGTATATGTAATTAAACTAGAAAATATGTTCCTCTCCTTTAATGTTACTATTAGAAATTCTAGATCAGCAATTAGAAAATCAAAAGTAGCAATATTAAGCCCATTTTATAAGAAGACCATGCATTCAGTGCATTATTCCTGTTTCCCTGACAACCTGCCAGCATTCATGACCCAACCAAATTCCCAACAGTGTTGCAGAATGGGCTTTTAATAATGCAAAGACCTTTCTTTCGTTTAGTGGGAGGATGCTCGCTTAGTGAGAATGAAATCGTCCATCAACAATCTGGTCATCAATTTTCATTTCAGTATCCCAAATGTGATTTAACTTTTGTCAAAAAAATTCTCACATTATTTTGTTCTGAATGCTACTTAGAAAGTACATTTATAACTGTGAGATATAATTGATGTCCAAGGGCTCTAAATAAACAGCCACTTAAAACACAATAGTTAGCTTTCTTCCCCCTACTTGTATACCATTAATTATTTTAAATAATATCTTTTAAGTGTTATAATTAGTAAGAAGAGGGCAAAATGATCTTTTACTGAGATATTTTCTAACCGACATTTAAAAACTGCTTTTTACATAATCATCCAAGTTATTTTAAGGCATTAATGCAACACAATTAACTCTACATAACAGAACACTAATCTTCACCCTTTAACAAGTCCCTGAGAACCAGACAATATGTTACTCCTGTACATTTGTAAGTAGCGAATTCATTGTGTGATTTTTTTAAACTTTTTATATTGTGAATCATTTGCCTCTCTTTTCTCTACATTTTGGCTAAAAGAAAGAGAAATCTATTTGCTTTCCTCTGGCTCAGCATTTTATATTAAAAAGTGTCTATCCTACCAGTAATAGCCAAAGTGGTTCAGTTTACTAAAACATGTAGTCTGGTTGTTGTTAATCAATGGCACTTTATTGATTTTTTTTTAAAGAACAAAATCCCGCATAAAATATTACATATAAAAACAGAACATTAGGCAAACAAACATTACCAGAGAGGAAATATTGTTAATACTATTCCTATATGGCCTTCATTGGTTTGCAACCATGGCAATACAATGAAGGAACAGATCAATACATATATATTTCAGAAAATAAAAATCTTGCTTTTGAGTTTTCTATTTTTAATTTTTTTAATTGGAAAAAAATAAAATAATGTTTTAAATGTGATTCCATTATTTCATTAAAACGGAAATCCTGATCATTTTCATATTGCTTTGTAGTCCCCACTTGTGAATTTAAGAGTACCTTTCTTCTTAGACCTCTTAATGAATAGTCCAATATGAATGTGTTATCTATTTGTCTACTTACCTTTATCAAATAATGGTAAAAATGACAACAAAAACAAACTGTAAGGTTCATAGAAAGATAGTACTTTCATTACATTAAGTTCTAAAACTCCACAGGCAACATAACTATTTTTTTAAAGATGTTTAAAAAGATGGGTTCAGCACTCTGTTTTTTTTAATATACTTTAAGTTCTAGGGTACATGTGAACAACATGCAGGTTTGTTACATATGTATACATGTGCCATGTTGGTGTGCTGCACCCATTAACTCGTCATTTACATTAGGTCTATCTCCTAATGCTATCCCTCCCCCCTCCCCCCACCCCACGACAGACCCCAGTGTGTGATGTTCCCCATCCTGTATCCAAGTGTTCTCATTGTTCAATTCCCACCTATGAGTGAGAACATGTGGTTTGGTTTTCTGTCCTTGTGATACTTTGCTCAGAATGATGGTTTCCAGCTTCATCTGTGTCCCTACAAAGGACATGAACTCATCCCTTTCATGGCTGCATAGTATTCCATGGTGTATATGTGCCACATTTTTTTAATCCAGTCTATCATTGATGGACATTTGAGTTGGTTCCAAGTCTTTGCTATTGTGAATAGTGCTGCAGTAAACATATGTGTGCATGTGTCTTTATAGCAGCATGATTTATAAGCCTTTGGGTATATACCCGGTAATGGGATTGCTGGGTCAAATGGTATTTCTAGTTCTAGATCCTTGAGGAATAGCACTTATTCCAAAATTGACCACATAGTTGGAAATAAAGCACTCCTCAGCAAATGTAAAAGAACAGAAATTATCAAAAGCTGTCTCTCAGACCACAGTGCAATCAAACTAGAACTCAGGATTAACAAACTCACTCAAAATCGCTCAACTACATGGAAACTGAACAACCTGCTCCTGAATGACTACTGGGTACATAACAAAATGAAGGCAGGAATAAAGATGTTCTTTGAAACCAGTGAGAACAAAGACACAACATACCAGAATCTCTGGGACACATTTAAAGCAGTGTGTAGAGGGAAATTTATAGCACTAAATGTCCACAAGAGAAAGCAGGAAAGATCTAAAATTGACACCCTAACATCACAATTAAAAGAACTAGAGAAGCAAGAGCAAACACATTCAAAAGCTAACAGAAGGCAAGAAATGACTAAGATCAGAGCAGAACTGAAGGAGATAGAGACACAGAAAAACCCTTCAAAAACTCAATGAATCCTGGAGCTGGTTTTTTGAAAAGATCAACAAAATGGATAGACCGCTAGCAAGACTAATAAAGAAGAAAAGAAAGAAGAATCAAATAGACGTAATAAAAAATGATAAAGGGGAAATCACCAGCACTCTATTTAAAGGCAGATTAGTGAAGATCAGAGTGGAATGGTTACTGCTGGCCACGTCTTGTTACACTGAAGTATAAACACATCAAAATAATAAAATTTGTCATTTAGCATACTAAATATTTAGCATTATATTCATACCCCATCAGTCTTTGTTATTTTTTTAAAAACCCAGTAACATCACCCCTATATACATATCAACTTCAACTTTTCATTTATTTTTGCTTTCTTCCTGAAAATGACTTTTAAAAAGCTGCTGCTTCTCATGCCAGGCCTCTGAAATCTCTGTATCCACACACACAAGAGAACCTAGTGGGTTCCTCTTAAGAGGTGAGACTCTCCAGCACAAGAATAAATGAGTGGTTAACAATCAAAAAAGAGAACAGTAGATCCTCTCCATCTTGGGTACTAGCAGTGTTGAATTCCAGTTTAGTTCAGTTTAACGAAGATTTATTGGGCACTTAATTCATTCCAGACACTAACTTAGGCTTAGAGGATACAGAAATACATAAGAGTATGTTCATGCTTTCCAGGAGTGTCCTATGTAATTGTGAAGTCATCTGTAAAGCTAGTGTTGATAGCTATCATGGAGTTACTTCTTAACTGGCATCCCATCTTAAGTGATAACAGAGTCTAAGTAAGCACATTTGGCATATAGAGAAAAGACTGTAAATACTTTAAATCATCCATGGAAATCCAATATATAACATCTTGTACACCATCATTGTCCTGATGATTTTGCATTCTACATAGTAAGAACCACTGAGTAAGAATAAAGGAAGAATCAAAAGCAAAGTTTTGTGGAAATGACGGGATAGCCAACTTTTCTGTTCACAGTTACAAGACTATTAAGTGAATATGGAGGCAATGGAACATCTTAAAGCAGTGGTCCCCAACCTTTTTGGCACCAGGGATGGGTTTCGTGGAAAACAATATTTCCATGGATCAGTGGGGGTGTGAGGATGGTTTTGGGATGATTCAAGTGCATTACATGTATTGTGAATTTTATTTCTACTGTTATTACATTGTAATATATAATGAAAAAATTATAACTCACCATAATGTAGAATCAGTGGGAGCCCTGACCATGTTTTCCTGCACTAGACAGTCCCATATGGGGGTGATGGGAGACAGTGACAGGTCATTAGGCATTAGATTGTTTTTTTGTTTTTATGTTTTTGTTTTGTTTGTTTGTTTGTTTGTTTTTGTAGAGATGGGGTTTCACCATGTTGGCCAGGCTGGTCTTAAATGCCTGCCTCAGCATCCCAAAGTGCTGGGATTACAGGTGTGAACCACTGCACCTGGCCTGGCATTAGATTCTTATAAGGAGCACGCAACCTAGATCTCTCACATGCACAGTTCACAGTAGAGTTCTCAGTCCTATGAGAATCTAATGCTGCCACTGATCTAACAGGAAGCAGAGCTAAGACATTAATGAAAGCAATGGGGAGCGGCTGTAAATACAGATAAAGCTTCGCTCGGTCTCCTACCACTCACCTCCTGCTGCTGTTGCCTGGTTCCTAACAGGCAATGGACTGGTCCTAGTCTGTGACCTGGGGGTTGGGGATCCCTGTCTTAAAGAATCCCTGCTGGTCTGCATGTTAATTCTATTTTAATACTAAACCTCACTTCTCTAAACTAAACCAAGGTTGATTTTGTTTTCGTTAGGCTTAAAAGTAATAAACTTAAAGGCTGGCACACAGTAGGTACCAATAAATGTTTGCTGGATTTTATCTAAATCTTTCTTTATCAAATTTACAACTTTGAAAAGTATAGAGAAGAACTGGGGTATGTGCTTCCTTATCTTTTCAAATGCTGTCAATTACTGCGGCCCTACTTTTTTTTTTTTTAAATAAAATGAACGGTAAATATTTATTTTATTTTTTTCCTACGAGTCCAGAAATCCAGAAGGATTGTAAGTGTATGAATATGATTATTGACTTTTAAAAGAACATATGACAAGCAAGTAAAAGAAAATTCAAGAATTTCACTAAGAAATAAACAGGATGCAAAGCACTTTCCGTCACAATAGACAGACATCCCAGACATGTTTAATTGTTAAACAATAGTAGAAATAATAAGCAATTAATAAAAGTTAAAACATATAAAGTAACCAAAACCAAACACAATTTTAGCACTTACGTTCAAATTATCTAAAAAAGAACAGCCCACAATTATCAGTATCAAACTATAAAAAAAATTCTAGTACTTATATATCATTTCTAAAAGCAATCTCAGAGAAACAGGAATAAATTGCTTATTTCTGGTTGCTTTGAACAAGTCTGAAGAGCATCATCTTGAAAACTATATATATATATATACACATATATATACATATATGTGTATATATATATATATACACATATATATACATATATGTGTATATATAGACACACACATATATACATATATATGTATATATATACACATATACGTATATATACGTATATACACGTATATGCGTATATATGTATATACACTTATATACTTGTATATATACACATATATACGTGTATACACGTATATACACGTATATATACACGTGTATACATGTATATAAACAAACTTTTAGAATGACCTAAAAGAATGATGCAAGTCCAAAGACCAAACAATGTGTATTTATTTTGCTAAAATATTACATTTCGTTATATTGCCACTAAGAGATTTGTGATCCCATAGTCCATTTCCTTTTTTTTAAAATTTATTTTATTATTATTATACTTTAAGTTTTAGGGTACATGGGCAGGTTTGTTACATATGCATACATGTGCCATGCTGGTGTGCTGCACCCATTAACTCGTCATTTAGCATTAGGTATATCTCCTAATGCTATCCCTCCCCCCTCCCCCCACCTCAAGTGGCCCTACTTAATAGCCATCATGCTTCTGTTCTTGAACATTGAACACAATGGATCAAGTTGCATTTCACTCCTCATTCAGAGTTAGATTCTAAAATTAGCAACTTAAGTTAAATGTGAATATGATGCAACCCACTGCATGAAAAATAACATTGTTACTGGCATTCAGAGAATAGGATTTAAAGCTAGATGAAACCTCTGTGAAGGTTTTATAGAGCGGATGAAGTATATACAGAACATTCTAAATTATGTATAAAAGACCAACAAAGAAAAAATGAAATGGCATCCTAAGTAACACTAAGGGTGAAGATATAAAGTCAGGAACACCACGGTTTATGCAAAGAGCAACATATCTTCCAGTATCATTATAGTGTTAGACCCAAAGATAGAGTTAAGAAGGTTTGGATCATGGAAGGCTATTTATTTTATGCTAAGGAGACTTGCCTTTATTGCATAGTTATTAGGGAGGCCTCCACACATTTTGATTAAGTGAATGGCATGGTTGGATGTTTATTTAAAATATATTTAGTTCTCTTTAACTGAAGTGCAAAGAATGGATATAAGACCAGTAGAATGAGAAAGTAGGAGATTAGTTAAAAGATTATAAGCCTTGAGTCAGGGTAGTGGTGACAAGAAATAGAGAAGAAGAAAAAAATAAAGAACTATTTAATTTGGAACTTGACAGTTGATTCAGTTGAGGTGAAAGAGATGTATCAAAAGCGATGGATAATGCCTGTGTCCAGCAAACTAGGCATGACTGGCTGACGATGATATCACTGTAGGAAGGAGACTACAGGATGTGTAAATGATACATACGCGTTTCCTGTGGATTACTGAGAAGACATGGTCACTAGATATTTTGATATACAAGACTAAATAAACATCAGAGAAAGGGCTAAGGCAGGGGATATAGACTTGAGAGTCTTCAAAATATGAGTGATAATTGGCTGGGCGCGGTGGCTCACGCCTGTAATCCCACCCAGCACTTTGGGAGGCTGAGGCGGGCAGATCACCTGAGGTCAGGAGTTAGAGATGAACGTGGCCAACATGGTGAAACCCTGTCTCTACTAAAAATACCAAAAATTAGCCAGGCGTAGTGGCAGGCACCTGTAATCCTAGCTACTTGGGAGGCTTAGGCAGGAGAATCGCTTGAACCCGGGAGGCGGAGGTTGCAGTGAGCTGAGATCGTGCTATTGCACTTCAGCCTGGGCAACAAAAGCAAAAATCTGTCTTAAAAAAAAAAAAAAAAAGAGTGATAATTAAACCCCTGAGAGTAATAGTGATTGACAAAGGACATCCCAGGGAAAACAATTGCTAAGCCGTAGGCACTTCATGAGTTGTCAGAAGACAGGCAAGAAGAGAAACAGAAGAGGAAGTAGGAGGGAGCCCCAGGGAAGAAAAAATTTGAGGCAGAAACACAGTGGCTACAAGCTCCATACAACCTGAGCTTCTCAGCACAGCTTCAGTGGAGCAGGAGACACACACTAGACCACAATGTGTTGAATAGTGAAAGTGAAGTGTGGAAGTGGGCCAGCTAGTGTAGACACTCAAAGAGCTTAGCTAAGGAAAGGAGAGAACAAGGAGTGATAGCTAACATGCAACATGGGGTCAGGTTTCGGTTTTGTTTTAAGATGAGAATGGGACCATAGAGAAAAATGATATCCAGCAAGTTTTATTTTGTGCTAACACTGATTGATCAGTGGTGGCTGTCTGAACACAAGGTCAAGAACAACTGTGATGCCTGCATAGTTCAGTAGGAAAAAGAAAGCAATGATTGATGATGAGTGTCTCTTAAAAGCAGGAGAGGGGAGTAGTGTCATGGATATCCCAGATTTGTCATCCCTTTATAGGCTTGCTTCACATGGCTACGATTATTCACAGATGAGATGCATATTGAGGATACTAGCTAGTAAATATTATAGCTTACTGATGATAAAAGGAAAGGAGCATTGAAGAACAAGGTAATATTCATAAAGAGTTACTAGGAACAATCAACTGAGCTACTATGGAAATAGACAGCCCTGCAATTCACTAATTTGGTTAAGAGAATATTGGCAAAATATGAATATGAATACTGTAGAAGAGAAAAATATATGTTCCTTACTCATTGCCAGGGTCCTGGCTGAAAGTCCTGTAACAAAAGACAGATCAATAAGAGAAAAGCATGGCAAATTCATTTTTAAAAAGTTTTACATAACACAGGAACCTTCAAAAATAAAGACCCAAAAACCCCCAAACTGTACATTTATGCTAAGTCTGATGAAATAACTGGATAGTTGTAGAGAAACATGATTGGACAATAAGGGGTGGGATCTAATGGTAATAAACAGTAAGAAACTTCAGCAAGGCCTGTTTGTTCAAATTATTTCCTGTGTCTCAGTATAATATTCCTTCCATCCCAGGTACAGGGCAGGATCTCTCAGGAATGAAGGTGTTATACTCACTTTTAGGCAAGGTAGGTCAGAGAATTCCTTTATGAACTTGTTTCAGGGGAGAAAGGCAGGAGAAGGTCAGAGTAACTTGCTCTGTACTTTTCTCTGTTGTCAAGGGGCCATATTCTGGGGCATGATGTTCTGAATCCCCACAATGCTAAGGTGTTGTTTTCTTAATGTTTTTTATTTACAGTGTACAATGTGACTTTTTCGCACATCAAGCTAATTAACATATCCATCACCTCACACACTTACGTCTATTGTGGTAAGAACACTTAAATCTGCTCTTAGCAAATTTCAAGTATACAATACACTATTATTAACTACAGTCATCATGATGCACAATAGATACCCAGAACTTATTCAACCTAACGGGAACTTTGTACCCTTTGACCAATTAACAACATATTGGAAGGAAGGGCCATGAAAGGAAGAATAGACTTCCACTCCTTTAGGACATTCACTCTTTCTGATTTTGTTTGTTCATTTTTTTTTTTTCCTTTCCATTCATTGCTTCTCATCTAGGCTTTGCTGCCAGGAAATTGGGAGGTGTTCTTCGTGCTGTTGTGATATCACCATTCCTCTAGAGCTGGGGGTATATTGGGAGAAGAACAGAACCACATGTATCATGCATCCGATCTCCTACTGCATGTCTCAGACCAGCAATACACACTATTTGTGAGTTGAGTACTAGAAGAAACAATGGCTACCTCAAAGCCTTAACTTTAGCAACAAAGAATAGAGATAGACAGGTATGTATTAGTGACTTAGGTACAATAACCTTATCAAATAATTGGCCTTGGATTAGCCAATCTAAGCAAAAGGAATTTCCCTGTACTCTAGATCTTCTATACACATAGTTCCCAGGCATCTTATACTTAGCATGGACTAGTTATACAATGCATGCATAGTAGTAATGAATTATCTGAAACATACTTGAGTAATTTAAGTAGGAAAAGCACTTTTTTTTTTTTGAGACGGAATCTCACTCTGTTGCCAGGCTGGAGCAGTGGCGCCATCCTGGCTCACTGCAACCTCTGCCTCCCAAGTTCAAGCGATTCTCCTGCCTAAGCCTCCCAAGCAGCTGAGATTACAGGCATGTGCCACCATGCTCGGCTAATTTTTGTATTTTTAGTAGAGACAGGGTTTCACCATGTTGGCCAGGATGGTCTTGATCTCGTGACCTTCTGATCCACCCACTTCCGCCTCCCAAAGTGCTGGGATTACAGGCATGAGCCACCACGCCTGGCCAGGAAAAGCACTCTTGAAGTGGCTGAGTTGTAAATTTCTCATTTTTATGACTACTGTCTAATAATCACGGCTATTATAACATAACTGATAATCTTAAGATCTGCTTTATCTAAAACTGATAATTTAAGTATAAAAAATGAGCCTAAGTGTCCATTAAACAAAGACATATTATTTCCTGTATATCCTTATGTGAACTTATTAAATATTCATTTTGTTATTTTTCCCCTTTCTTTATTTTTTAAAAATGTATTCTCCAACGTGAAAGGGCTTGTTTTGACTGTGCAACTTAGCAGTGGGAGAGGCCGACGTTCAGCAGGTGTGTTGTTCTAAAATTCACGTTATGCATTCTAATTCATTACAAATCCTTTTCTAAAGGCCATTCAGTGATGTTAAAATATGAGTAATCTGGGTATATGAAATATTATGTCCACTAAACATTCTGAGGGCTAACCTGATAGGTATATGTGTTCATCATTTCCTGGATCAGGGGAATATAATCTGTCTGAAACAAATGTTATATTAAAGGTAAAAATAATCATCAAACTTGAAACATTATTTCTTTTTTCTTGTACATACCAGAAGTGATCTGGTATGTACAAGTGCAGAATATAGTTTCTTAACTAACAAACCATCTTTCCCATTTTTTTAACCAATTGCACCCCCTATTTCTATTTTTTATTATTTGAAAGATATTTTAACTATTTAACAATTCTTAAGGATGCTTTGTTCTATCACATCCCTAAACATAAATCTTAGACGATTTTTCTATATCAATCCTATCTTTTCCTTATCCCATATAGTACACTACTAGCAGAAGCTGCTTCTAAGCTCTAGATGCCATATTTGTTAATTTTCTTAGTAATGTCTATCCCCAAATTCCTCAACTATTTGCCTTCACATCCTGTAGCTTTTCAATTACAAAAATGTAATATGAATATACAAATATCTTTCTTGAAAAACACAGTGCTTGGCAAAATAAATAAAATTCAGATGTATTTTAGCACAGGTAACGAGAAAATCAATGTAAAGTTAATCTGTCCTGCAATAAGGAAAAGTCCTCTAAAATCTCATAAATTTAAAATATATTATTACTGATAACACTGACATTTCTTAAATAATAAAACAAAGATGTTTATAAACATCAATGAGTTAACATTGTAGAGGCATAGATGTTGACATAAAAATGAACAAAGGTAGGCTTTCAAAAAAATTTTAAGGCACAGAGCAGGAGGATTTAGTATTTGAAAGATGGAAAAGGATTACAGAATTAAACGACAAGAGGGGGAAAGCTTTGAAAAATTTCAGAGAATAGGCTGTATGAAAACAAAGTGGGAGAAGTGTGAAATGAAGGAGTATTAGAAAAAGTGAGCCAGATAAGAGAGGAAGGAAATCAAGGAATCAGAATAGCATTTTGCATATGTGTAGACACATGAATATACCCACATACATTATATAATACATACTCTTGTGTGTGTATGTGTGTGCGTGTGTGTGTGTGTTTAATCTCAGATGTTTTTTCTGTATCAATCCTTTCCTTTCCTTATCCCATCTGGTATGCTAGTAGAGGTTGCTTGTAAGCTTTACTGATAAAAAGAAATATATACTTTTTATATACATACACACACATATATATATATACTTATACATACATACATACATACATATATATATATAAAGTATACATATGTCTATAATCTTTAACCGAAAAGTTTAGAACTGTGAGAGACTTGGGCTATGCTGGTGCCCCCACATACTGCTAGGCTGCAGAGTCCAGTACAGCTGCAACAAGTGTAATAATAAAAATGACTGTGTTTGTTTTTCTTGCAAACTCGCCTGCCCCACAAGCCTCCCCATTGCTCCCAGGAATTCATGCAAAGCAGTCACACTCTGAAGCCTGTGGGAGGGCAAGGGAAAGAAAGGATGGGCAAATTAGCTATAATTGGATCTTATTAACTTAGCTATTTAAATTGCTAATCTGTTTCCAAGTAGGCTGATTTGTAAATAACTCATCTTGAGCTGACTGAATTTGGCTTTTCTAACCATTGATGTAATTGAAAGAAAACTGAGCAAGTTATTGTTTATTTATCTTTTATTACATTTTAAAACTAAATGGTTAAAATTGTCTGGACACATTAGAATTGGAACTCAATTTTATATCCACCTAGGCAAAGAGAAATAGGAACACTTTTACACTGTTGGTGGGACTATAAACTAGTTCAACCATTGTGGAAGACAGTGTGGCAATTCCTCAAGGATCTAGAACTAGAAATACCATTTGACCCAGCAATCCCATTACTGGGTATATACCCAAAAGATTATAAATCATGCTGCTATACAGACACATGCACAGGTATGTTTATTGTGGCATTATTCACAATAGTGAAGACTTGGAACCAACCCAAATGTCCATCAATGATAGACTGGATTAAGAAAATGTGGCACATATACACCATGGAATACTATGCAGCCATAAAAAAGGATGAGTTCATGTCCTTTGTAGGGACATGGATGAAGCTGGAAATCATCATTCTGAGCAAACTATCTCAAGGACAGAAAACCAAACACCGCATGTTCTCACTCATAGGTGGGAATTGAACAATGAGAACACTTGGACACAGGATGGGGAACAGCACTAACTGGGGCCTGTCATGGGGTAGGGGGAGGGGGGAGGGATAGCATTAGGAGATATACCTAATGTAAATGATGAGTTAATGGGTGCAGCACACCAACATAGCACATGTATACATATGTAAAAAACTTGCACGTTGTGCACTTGTACCCTAGACCTTAAAGTATAATAATAATAAAAAAAGAGTATGATTACCAAATGCCTAGGTTTTACATGGGTTCAATTAACTTTCAGAGAAATCTCATGCAAACCTAGTTAATATAATTAAAGGCAGTACAATCAGGGGAGAGGATAGAATTTTTTAATAAATTGCCCCAAAGGCCCATATCTATATAGATATGTCTATATATATCTATGTCTATATGTATAGATATATATAGATGGGAAAGAGAGATTTATAAGCCTATAAGGCAAAAATTTTAAATTGCCTTTTCCTTTTAAAATAAATCTTTATATGATCCAAGAGATATAAAAATGTAAGGTAAAAGAATATAAAAGTTGCCTTCTTTTTGAGTCACTTTTAGAAAAGAAAATGTCCAATGATTGGAGAAGATAGTATTCAGAGTAATATAATACTAAAATATGAAGAGATGTAATACAGTAAATATATTACACAAATTGAAAGGACTTAATATAGGTAATAATTATTACTAGACTTTAAGTCTTGATAGGAGAAATTAAATAATCTTAATTTATTAATTAACATACTAGTTAATATAAGAGAAATGTCTTTCTGTTGGTTTGTAACCACCTTTCAAAAGATTAAACAGTGTTCTTATGTAAAAAAATATATAATACTGTTTGACACACACATATACATGCTATATATTGTTACGTGTGTGTACGTGTGTGTGCACCCACTAATCAAACTTTTTAAATGTGTACTTGTTTAGTCATAACATAATGCTTCCCTGTGTTGAAAAATCCTATGGGCTATAATTTCACTGTTATGAGTCAGATGATTCAATTTAAAAAGTACAAGTAGAAAGGCAAAGAATTGTGCTTTTACTCAATTTTACTTACAGTAAAGTGTTCAGTAAATATTTGTGAGAGTAAATGAATGAGGAGTGATGGTTATATATTCCATAGTCTTGTTTCTCTTTCTCTTTAAAAAATGTCCTACCAAACATAAATAATAAAATAGCAGCTCTGAAAAACTATTTCTGTTTCTTCATTTATAGCAAACAAATTGAGATATCTTGATCATCTGTTTATGTCTTCTTTAAGTTTACTGAAAGGGGCCTTTTTATTAATCTTTTCTTCAATTTTGTATTGTGTTCTAATGATGCAAATGATTTAATTTATAAACAGTTCACAAAAACCTAAATTCGGTGCCTCAGTTTCTTCATATCAAGTATCAGCTTCCTTAAGAAAGGTACAATGAGTATTCAGAACTGTAAAACAAAAATAGATTATCAGAGATGAGTTTTTAAATTTTATATGTTTTTAAAATATTTCAGCATCAAACACAATATGCTTTAGTGATGTAGTCTACTTTAAATCTTTGTTTTTTATTGGTTTTCTTTTTTGTTGGTTGCAGTAACAACCTCTTTCCTGAAATGTGTAGAAGTTGGGCAGAAAACTCAGATTTTATGCGACTTCTACTGTAATCAAAACATATGCTGAAGGTACAAACACAGAAGTTAGAACAGAACACCAAGCAGTGTTGTCCCTGATCTTCATTTTAGGATAAACTGCATAAGAAGAAATGAGGCAAAGGGAATGGATCCAATAAACGTCTCAATGTTCTGTTCTAATATAAATATGAAAGGGATACTGATCAATGATGTGAATGATGTGATATCCATTAATTTTGGCAGGAAGAATATTACTCCTTTACTAAGAACAGAATGACCCATTTTCACATTGGCTTTTGGAAATACAAAGAACAAGCATAGATGGCACAGGTACAGATGTACACTTCACAGAGTCTCAGAGAAAAAAGGTGCCTCTGCTTCCAGCTGCCTTCTCTGTTCAAATATCATAAGGAAGGAAAGAGAGATCCCTCAAAGTGATAATATTTCCAGCTAAAGTGAACAATGGTATTAAACAAAATGAATAAACAGGCAATACAATGCCTATCTTCTACAACATTGAGACTATTCAAGTTTATTAACAAGAATAGTCACTAAAATGTTACATTTTAATATCTTTCATTGAATACTGTTTTTATCAGAATAAGTTTCAAGATATAATATGTCTTATATAATAAATAAGTGTTTAGTTATAATGGAGAATAGTGGTTATCCCCAGTGAGGGCAGGATGGGGATCATGTCAAGAATTTGTTACAGTTTCAGACAATACTAATGCATTAATTTATCTGTATGCTGATGAAAAAAACAAATAAGTTTCCATAATTGAGATGCACAGTTCCCTCTAAATATACACACTTATATTGAAAGGGATATAAAATATTTATCCTTTCTAGAAGATGATCCATAATATTTATTATGTTTTTACTGAAATATATTTTTTCTTGCAAAAAAATGGCAGAAAAAGATGACCAAGAGCTTACTACTCTGGCAAGTAGACTCATAAAGATTTAGAAAAAACTTGTTTACAAGCATGACTTAATTTACATTAAATGCCAGATCAAAGACCCTTAAAGCAAGTAAATTTTGTATTTATATGATTCACATGCCAAAACAAATCTCACTTCAACAGTTTTTTTTTCACTCCTATGTTGAGGAATGCAGAAAATTACTCTCTGGAAAAAATAATCAAGGTAATCTCACTTTAATATTATAAGAGCTACATATAAATGCAGGAATATTAACATAAAAGTCCTTATTGTTTACTTTTTATGGCTAGAAAGGGTACCAAGGTGATATAGTTTGGTTTCGTCCCCACCCAAATCTCATCTTGAATTTTAGCTCCCATAATTCCCATGTGTTGTGGGAGGGACCCAGTGGGAGGTAATTGAATCATGTGGGTGGGTCTTTCCCATGCTGTTCTCATGATAGTGAATAAGTGTCATGAGATCTGATGGTTTTATAAAGGGGAGTTCTCCTTCACACTCCCTCTTGCCTGCCACCATGGAAGACATGCCTTTGCTTCTCCTTTACCTTCTGCCATGACTGTGAGGCCTCCCCAGCCATGTGGAACTGTGAATCCATTAAACCTCTTTCCTTTATAAATTACCCAGTCTCAAGTATGTCTTTGTTAGAAGCATGAGAACAGACTAATACAGTAAATTGGTACTGGTAGAAAGGGGTACTGCTGTAAAAACACCCAAAAATATGAAGCAACTTTGGAACTGGGTAACAGGCAGAGGTTGGAACAGTTTGGAGGGCTCAGAAGAAGACAAAATAATATGGGAAAGTTTGGAACTTTCTAGAGAGTTGTTGAATAATTTTGATGAAAATGCTGATAGTCATATGGACAATGAACTCCAGGTTGAGGTGCCTCAGATGGAGATGAGGAACTTGTTGGGAACTGGTGCAAAGGTGACTCTTGTTATGCTTCAGCAAAGAGACTGGGGGAATTTCTTCTCCCCACCCTAGAGATCTGTTGAACTTTGAACTTAAGATAGATGATTTAGAGTATCTGGAGAAAGAAATTTTGAAGAAGCAAAGCATTCAATAGGAAGCAGAGCATACAAGTTTGAAAAGTTTACAGCCTGAGGATGCAATAGGAGAAATTTTCTGAAGAGAAATTCAAGGTAGCTGCAGAAAGTTGCATAAGTAACTAGAAGTCAAATGTTAATCACCAAGAAAATGGGGAAAATGTCTCCAGAGCATGTCAGGGACTTCTGTGGCAGCCTCTCCTATCACAGGCCCAGAGTGTAGAAGGAAATAATGGTTTCTTGGGCTGGTCTCAGTAACCCCCTACTTTGTGCAGCCTAGGGACTTTGAGTCCTGTGTCCCAGCTGCTCCAACCATGGCTAAATGGGGCCAAGGTACAGCTCAGGCAGTGGCTTCAGAGGCTGGAAGCCCCAAGCTTTGACAGCTTCCATGTGATGTTGAGCCTGTGAGTGCACAGAAATCAAGAATTGAGGTTTGGGAACCTCCACCTAGATTTCAGAGGAGGTATGGAAATGCCTAAATGTCCAGGCAGAGGTGTGCTGCAGGGGTGAAGCCCCTATGAACAACCTCTGCTAGGGCAGTGCAGAAGGGAAATGTGGGGTGTGAGCCCACACACAGAGTACCCACTGGGGCACTGACTAGTGGAGCTGTGAGAAGAGGGCCACTGTCCTCCAGACCCCAGGATGGTAGATCCACCAAATGCTCACACTGTGCACCTGGAAAAGCCACAGAAACTAAATGCCAGGCTGGGAAAACAGCCGGGGGGTCGGGGTGGGGGGTGCTGTACTATGTAAAGCCACAGAGGTAGAGCTGCAGAAGGCCAGGGAGCCCACCTCTTGCATCAGCATGACCTGGATGTGAGACATGGAATCAAAGGACATCATTTTGGAGCTTTAAGATTTGACTGCCCCACTGGATTTCAGACTTGCAGGGGCCTATACCCCCTTCATTTTGGCCAATTTCTCCCATTTGGAATGGCTGTTTACCCAATGCCTATACCCCCATTGTATCTAGGAAGTAACTAACTTGCTTTTGTTTCACAGGCTCATAGGCAGAAGGGACTTGCCTTTTCTCAGAAGAGACTTTGTACTATGTACTTTAGAGTTAATGTGAAATGAGTTAAAACTTTGAGGGACTGTTGGGAAGGCATGACTGGTTTTGAAATGTGAGCACATAAGATTTGGGTGGGGCCACAAGAGGAATAATACAGTTCGTCTGTGTCCCCACCGAAATCTTATCTCCAATTGTAACTCCCATAGCTCCCACATGTCGTGGGAGGGACCCTATGGGAAGTAATTAAATCACGGGGGCGGGTCTTTCCCATACTGTTCTCATGACAGTGAATAAGTCTCACTAGATCTAATGATTTTATAAAGGGGAGTTCCCCTGCACAAGCCCTCTTGCCTACTGCCATGTTAAGACAGGCTTTTGCTTCTCCTTTGTCTTCCGCCATGATTGTGAGGCCTCCCCAGCCATGTGGAATCATGAGTCTATTAAATCTCTTTCCTTTATAAACTGCCTAGTCTCAGATATGTTTTTACTAGCCATGTGAGAACAGACTAATACACAGGGTACATACAGAATAGGTAGGTTTTGATAGGCTTGAACTTAAAGGCACTTGACATCCTGGGGTTGTCATCTTAGTCTACCACAAGTGTTGGGCATTTGCAGCAATGCAGACCTGGATTCAAATGCTAGCTCCAATACATACCTTAGGCGGGCAAACTAATTCAACTCTAAGCTCTGGATTTTTTTTTAATTTGTAAAATAGAAAAAAAAAATTGAAAACAACCTCACACAGCTGTTATAAGGACTTTCAGAGAAAATATTTATGAAGGATTTAAAACTATGCTTGGAACAAAATAAATGGTCAAAAAGTTGTCCCTAGAGATGAGTGGTGGTTGCTGCTATTACTGTTGGGGTGGCTAATTTATGTGCAAAAGAGGCCTGTGGTCCAGAGTAGTAGGCTCAGAGAAAGTGAAATTCCTTGAGGGGAGAAAACTGAGCAATATATTTTATTTCAAAGCTGACTTAAAAATAAAATTTTAGCTTCTTCAAACTAACATTGTGGACTTTGGCATGAATTCATACAGCAGTTCAATCTATTTTGAGAAAAGACTGATCACTGCTTTTGGAGAAAGCAGGTACTAAATTGCCAAGTTAATGAAAGCACAACAAACATTGTATATGAAGGCATTTTATAAAAAATGGCAATTTAAATTATTATATTTATGATTAACTAGTTTTTGACAGTACAACTGCTTGAGGCTTTACCAAATTTCTTCGAGAGGTTTCTTTTTGAAAATTTTATGACAAAACCTGCCTGTGGTTCCTTGCCCTTTCATTAATAAATATAAAGGTGTATTTTGTTTTCTTTGCACATGTAACTTTTGCCAAGAGAGGTCTGGTATTGGCACTTTTTACTCCATTTATAAAATGGTAAGTAATATTCCCCAAATCTATTGCCTTATAATGTTTAAATAGTATAAAAATTGGAAATGATCTAAATACTTTTGAAGAATTAAAAAAAAAAGTTTCATCTTGTTCTATAAATTGATTCCTGAATCCACAGATCAGGGCACAGCAATGCAGACTGACTGTACATGTGGGAGAGTGGGTGGCAGATGTATTCCAGGAGAAAAATTCAGTAACACATCAATCCACAGTGCCGGTCACTGCAGATAGGGAAACACCCTGTTCAGTGTGCTTACTGCGATAATTAAGTTTACCTGGAATTGTACTTTCTTAGGAGGAGAGGGAAATCCTAGAACAGCTCACAAATACTGACTCTTATATGAGCGTATAAAGTAAAACTAACTGAACTTCTTGGACTGATGAGCATACGTATCAAAGGAGATGTTATAAGTACTAATGACCCAGTCATAGCTAATGATTTTATGGCTAACCAGAGGCCTGAGTAGCTGTGCTAAACATACAGAACGGCTTTGAAGCACCTCACGGTGTTTTTGTTCTCAGCTGAACTATTTAAAATGTGGTTCTTTAATGAACTATCAAATGATCCAATAAAATACTTTCAAGCATGAAGCATACTGTGTGACTTCATGATGATGGGATTTAAGAAGCCAGAGCTCAATCTAAAGACTTAAGAGAATGAAGAATTAAAATTCAGAAGCCCTACAGAAACTATCAGAAAAATCAATATGATTTAGTTGAGGAAAAGAGGAGTTTACTGCATCTCTTTTTAAGAGCAAAGAAACAATTTTTAGGAGGCTTTGGTGAGAACTCAGTTATGGTCCCATCTCTAAGACATTCACTCACAAAGAGAAAGGGATTAATAATGGTTGGCTTATACCAATCAGAATTTACTCCCAAGAAAGAGAAAGCATCCCTTTCCTTGACTTGTTGAAATATAAATATAATATGCATTCTATATGCAAAGAAAATGAGAGAAATGGTATTTGGACAGGCAGTAGCACATGCCCTTTACACTCTACTAGTTGTGATCTGAATTAAAGTTCCTTGAAGACAATTTGGTAATATGTCCTTCAAATTACACATCCCTTTGGATTAGAACATCCATCCCTAAAAACGTCATCATAAAAACTAATCAGAGACAGTGTGTAAGAGTGTATGTATAAAACTATATCAGGAATATATAATCTCAAAAATGGAAAAAATGTGTCCATTAGAGGGAGATACGTTAAACAAGTAATAAATGTTCACATGGTGAATAATATGTAGCCTTTCAAAAAGATGATTTTTAAGAATATTGATGATAGCTTGTTAAACAATCATGCTAAAACTTTTAATGTAAATAAAAGTACTAAAGCAAAAAATCCCAAAATGTTTGGCAGCAAGATATTAACAACAGCATGAGGTAACTATTATTTTATTATTTATACTTATCTTTATTTTCAAGAGTATTTTAATAAGTAAATATTTTTAATTAGGTAAAAAGAAAAACTAAGTCTGTGAAGAAAGAAAGGGAGGCAGAAACAGAAAAGCATAGACTCCTAGATAGTAAAAGCAATGAGTTTAGATATTTTTATAATACCATAATATATTGAGAACAAGAACATACTGGAAACACTGTCAATGTCCAAGACTAGAGGTCTTATTGAGGACATTTGTATAAACATATAAAATGAAAAAAACAACAACTTGTAAAATTACTTTGTAGAAATATATATATTGACATAGAAAGATGCTGCCAACATACTGAAGACTAATGGCCAGTTACAATATTGTATAGTCAAGATACTGTTATTTTTGTTTTGTTAAAAAATCAAAAACCAAATGCAAGTATATATTTGTAGGTGGACATTATCCCTAGGTGGTAGTATATCCATGGAATCTATTGTTTAAGTTTTTATCTTTTTTATTCAATTTTCATACAATAAATATTCATTGAAAAGCTTTCTATTACTCATTGACAAGAAACAATGCAAATGAAAGAAAACATTGCTTGTTTAATGGAAGGAACAATGAATTTAAAGGGGGATACGTATATTATACATTAGTTTCCTGTTGCTGCTACAGCAAATTATTACACACCTAGTGGCTTAAAGAACATAAGTTTATTATCCTATAGTTCTATAGATCAGAAGTTCAGTAATCACCCCTAGACTAAAACCTAGGTGCTGGTACCGTTGCATTCCTTTCTGGAGATTCTATGGAAGAATCCATTTCCTTATTTTTTCCTGCTTCCAAAAGCCACCTGTATTCATTGGCTTGTGAACCTTCTACCCTTTTCAAAGCCAGAAAGGCCACATCTCTCTAACCCTTTTTCTGTGATTGCATTGCTTTCTGACCTCAGTTGGGAAAGAGTTTCTGCATTTACAGACACGTGTGATTAAACTGGGCCCACCTGGATAATCTTTCCCCCTCATGTTTAACAACCCTGATCATATCTGCAAGTCTCTTTTGCCATAAAGGGTAACATATGCACAGATTTTGGGGATTAGGTCGTAGACATCTTTTGCGGACCAGTATTCTATTTACCACACAGATTATCATGACTGCCTATTATAAATATGGTCTTTACAAATAAAACTGAAACTTGCAAAGAAAACTCATTCATTAACTCCTTATGTCACCTCACCTTATATTTCTCATATCTTAACAGTGATTTGAGAAATGACATGCCTATCTATGTAAATTTTAAAATTGTAAAACATACAGATGAAAACCTAGTATAAACCTTTGTGACTTTGGGCTCGGCAAAGATTTCTTCAATAGTACAACAAAAACACACTCTATAAAGATTGATAAAATTTACTTCATCAAATTAAATGATTCTGTTCTTCATAAACACTACTCAGAGAAAGAAAGTACAGAGATAATACTTTCAAACACATATTTGATAAAGATTGTATCCAGTATATTTAAAAAATTCAAAATTCTAGAATAATAAAACAAAATGTCCAATTTAAAATGGGCAAATTATTTGTACAAACAATTTACCAGGAAAGTCATATAGCAAATAACACATAAAAGATGTTCATCATCGTTAGTTATTAAGGAAATGGAAATTAAACTACAATAAGGTACCTATTAATACCTATTAAATGGCTAAAATTAAGGAGACTGAGCATATCAAATGTTGGCGGGGAGGTAGGATATTTGGAATTCACATGAACTACTGGTGGAAATGTAAAATGAAACAACTGTTTTGAAAAACAGTCTGGTAGTTTCCTAAAAAGCAAAACATATACCTTATAAATGATCTACACTTCCACTTCTAGGTCTTTAATTTAGAGAAAGGAAAGCAACATCCATAGAAAGAATTTCACATAAATATTTACAGTAGCTAATTTTGTAAAAACATCTCCAAACTAGAAACAACCCAAGTGTCTATTAACAGGTGAAAGGATAGACAAAATGTGGTACATCCATAAAATGGAATACAACTCATCGAGAAAAAGCAATGAATTTTTAATGCATGTAAGAAGAATAGCTCTCAAAATCATGTAGAGTATGCCTATAATCCTAGCACTTTGGGAGGCCGAGGTGGGCGGATCACAAGGTCAGGAGTTCGAGACCAGTCTGGCCAATATGGTGAAACCCCGTCTCTACTAAAAATACAAAAATTAGCCAGGCGTGGTGGCAGGCGCCTGTAGTCCCAGCTACTTAGGAGGCTGAGGCAGGAGAATTGCTTGAACCTGGGAGGCGGAGCTTGCAGTGAGCCGAGATCGCACCATTGAACTCCAGCCTGGGTGAGAGAGCAAGACTCTGTCTCAAAAAAAAAAAAAAAAAAATCATGTAGAGTGAAAGAAGCCATGCAAAATAAAGAGTGCTTCTATTTATATAAAATCCTAGAATGGGAATCAATCTATAGTGGTAGAAGCATTATCAGTCATTATCTGGGGGTGGGGATGGAGAGATGTGAGGTCAGTAAAACAAAGGGGCATAAATAAATTTGGGGGTGATGGGTATTTTTTATCTTGATTATGGTAATGATTTCATGCTATATACATACATAAGAATATATCAACATGGTGTACTTTAATTATATGCATTTTATTTCATGTCAATTATTCCTCCATAATTTTTTACAATAGACTGTTTACATGAAGAGCAAGGAAGAGTAGGTGATGAAGCTGGACAGGTAAACAAGACCTCAGATTGACCTATGACTTATTGCAGATTTGAATTCTGTCCTATTTATCATGAAAAGCCCATTGATGTTCATAATCATGGGAGTGAACTGATCAAAAACATGGAGGACTATCCCCTGAAGCAAACAGGATGGATTATGAACTTGAATGGCAAGGGTCTCGTGGCAGGAATATACTAGTTAGGAAGGCACAACAGTTCTTGAATTAAAATTTGATGTAGGCCTAAGCTACAAAGGCTTAGGCCTTTACTGGCTAAGGGCCAATAAAAAAGAGAGGAAAAGGCCAATTTGAAATATAGCCATAACGTATAAAAAGTTGTTCTATAAGAATCAATGACATTTTACGTGTGAAGGCATTTGGAGAGTGATGGATAAAAGATGAACCAAGTTTGGGAGGCTCAATATATGATGATGCCATTAACCAAGACAGAGGTATAAAAGAAGTATTATTATCAAATAATTTTTAGGAAGGAAGGTAATGATTTAGGTTTTGGATAAGTTGACTATGTACTGCATAAATGATATTCAGATAGAGACTAACAGTTGGAAATGCGTCTCAGGCTAAAAAAAAAAAAAGAACAGGAATTGCTGACTTGGGAATATGCACTTTATGATAGTTCAAAATAAAAGAATGGATGACGATACTCAGGTAGAATGTGTAAAACAGAAATGAAAGATGACTACAGTTGGGCATGTAAAAAATATCAAGGATAGAGAGTGAGGTGTGAATGGAGAAAAAGAATCCTTCCAGCACTAACAAGGAGGACTCAGAGAGTCAGAAGGAGAACAAAAGAAGGAAGAGTTTACTAATAGTGGCCAGAAAGAAGTCAAATGGTCATGAACTAAAGTTGTTTGGATTCTGCAAATAGTTGGATATTAAAACATAGAGTAAGGGCATCTTCTATAGAATCTTATGAGCAGAATCTGGTCAAAATGAGTTTAACCAGTGAATTAGAGTTAAAGAAAAAAAAGTGGAGATAGTGATTAGAGACTACCGCTTCAAAACTTGTCAGTAGCCAAATCAATAAAAATGATATAAGGGTAAAGAGAAAAATTGTATTGATCATTGCTGAAATTAACTGTGAGAAAGAAAACAGAAAACAAAACCCCAGTCCTTGCCATTTTCCTTTTTAAAAATCACCACCACACAGTTTCTAAAAATAAGAAGAATCATAAGATAGTAAATGTGTAAATGTTACCACTACAGCAATAACCAAAGTAGCTAATTTGACTGAGCCCTTATTATGTTTCAGTCTAACCTTCCACATGCACACACACACAATTTAATCTTCAAAAGCCCACACTGCATACAAACTACTATTATCTCTATTTTACAGGTGAGAGAATGGCAGTAAAGAAAGGTTAAGTACTTACCCACAGCTGATAAGCCAGTGTTTGAGCCCAGGTCACACTCCTAGCTATGACATTAGGGCATAAATATGACTCTAAAGGAATCTAGTATGACACACTCAACTTTCTCAATGATTTGTCCCTGAGATCCTCTTGTAAATTTGCAATGAAAGCATACAAAATTATTATGTTATCTACAATGTTAAAGTATCCATGGAAGAAAGAGATTAAAAATTCACCAAGTCCATAGCTATGAACTAGTGAAGTGATGATCACGCAGTTACTATTACACACTTTCTATAACTTTGACCACCAGTATCAAGAGTAGTGTAGACCCTTATCAGTTAAAAAATGCCCAGGGGCCACTTTGATCTGTGCTCAGGGGAAAGTGAAGTCTTATTACAAATTCCCTTTGATATCTTCAATTCTCAGACAGCAACCTCTCAATTAGAAATGGGAGTGGTCCACCCTGGATCAGAGGAAAATGTCTGTCTCTCACCAAAGACATTGCTCTTCCTTAAAATTTTAAAGGAACAGATTTTGGACTTGGGGCCCTGTAAGAGGCTGAAGATATTCATTTCAAACCAAGATCATGCTACTTTAAATACTCATCTTGTTAGGAAAGCAGAGTGAAAGATTTATGAACGAAGGCTCCCATTTTATACATACATACACACACACACATATATACATACATATATTATGTACACATAAATATATATACACATTTTATACACATATACATACGCATATAAAATGGGAGTCTTTGTCCATAAATCTCATATGTATATGGGGTGACTGCAGGTGACAAAATGGACACTTTCTAAAAACCGTTAGGAATCATTGTTAAAGTCTACTCAGCACCATGCATTGTCTAGATTCATTCACAATGTTCCTATTTATTTTATGAAGAATAAGATAATAAGCCTTAGAATTAGGAAAGTCTGCACATAAAGTGACTAGAAGTACCCAGAAACTGATTTCTGTTTTCAGAGGCATGAAGGCAAGTATAGAAGTATAAACAGTGAAACTCAGAAGTACCCATTTGGAACGTGAACACTCAGCAGCTCTCAATGCTGAGGGAGGGGGACAAGACATTGTAGGGTATGCAGTGCAAGGAGCTGCCACATCGTAAGCCGCCACCCAGCATTATTTTCACGTATTTGTGAAGGGAATGCTAAATACTTGGTAGGGCAAGCAATAAAGCAGACTACCTAAGACTTAGCATCTTCTTTAGAATACAATGATAGCTCTAATGACTGCTTACCGTTCATGCTCATAAAACATAAGTTCTCAATATCAATTGAAAATATGACACAGCAAGGTGGCTAGATAAATGACTACATCAGGCAGCCTTCCTCTTCAGAGAGAAGGCAAGCAACAGAAAGATAGAGACAGACAGAGAGAGACCAAACAGAGAGAGAGACAGCCCTCCTAATGAAAGTAGAGTATGAGGAACAGGCTCCTCAAATTACAGCAAGAGGGGAAAGAACAAAGCTTTACATTCAGGATTACAGTTGTACAGTGTAAATTTATGGTGATCAGTGTTAATTTATACATCAAATAGAGCCCAGTGATCTATTTCATTTCTTTTTAATTGTAATATAAAATGTAAAGACTTATGGAATACCGTCTTAAAGTACATGCCCAAATCTCATGAGAGGTTTATCACCTTTTCTCCAATAATAGTCACAGCTACTGGCAACACACAATTCTACTGTTTGTTAGCAGTTACACATATTGGTTTAGGCCCTCAAAGCATCTATAGAAGGAAAAACTATGCTACTGTCCATCTAGGCTGCATTAACAAGTTTACTTGATATGGCTGGTCAAGTGTCAGTTTTATTGTGTTGCCTGTCGCCAAGACAGCCCTTTATCAGAGTCACTTATCACGATGACAAACAGGAGGGTTAAAGCTTGACCCATATTCTAGTCATTGAACATTTCCTTTAGAAGCAAGAAGATCAGCAAGGATTTTCATAAACACGCATCTAAACAAACACCTGTTGCCAAAGTCCCTGCTAATTTTAACTTACTGCCTCAAGGCTGGTCTTCTCGGAGGCCTCACAATGGCATTAGTTCTGATTCTCTGGAACTGCTTCACACATGCCATTTCCTTTTACCAAGGGTGCTCTGGGTAAGACTGAGTTCTTTAGGGAATAAAAGATGCATAGCACTTGCACATACTTATGGAACTCATGACTAATGAGTTGTACATAATATACAGTTCTGTTTTTACTAAAGAAGTCATGACCTATGATTATCTGGTTCCCCTTGAACAAAAGTGTTTACATTGTGTTTGGTTTGTAAAATAGTTCTACTCTTTCGTTGCTAGGAAAATAAAAACTAACATATGTAAATATATTTTTCCCTGGCAGGCAGAGGAGGAAAGGCAAGACAAAAGATCACATTTCCCTTTGTGACACCACTGGAAGTATCTGACCAAAGCAGCGCGATCGGAGAGCTCAGGTTTAAACAAACAACAAAACCTAGTATTCTTTACCCTGGCCATGTACTCTGCCCTGGCCTGACTCCTCCTCGGTCATCACTGGGTCAGCAAGGCCAGCAAGAGACAGTAGCTGTAGGCTCTAAACAGGACACGGTCCCATGCCATTGTCTCTTTGTTCTTTGCTGAATTATCAGCTGCACAACTCACTTTTGATCTGTTATCCCCTTGCTCACTTCTTTGCCTTTTTGCCTGTAACCCCAAAACTCAAGGAACCATGAGATCATGCAATTGGCAGCATAGAGTGTGGCTCAGTGAAATGGACACATTCCTGAAAAGGAATAAATCCTAGGATAATAAACTAATTACTTCAAATATCATTATTAAAATGTGCACCAGTGAGTCTAAGGGATGCAAAGTATCATATTTTATTGGCGAAATCAGTGGTGTTCAATGTAAGTCGTTGGTTAAAATGATTTGGGAGATCCGCATGTAATAACATTAGTGTAGGGTTGAGGTCTAGCACCCCACTGTACATCCTTCTACTTCAACAATGACTTTGACACCTGACCCAACTAGAAGTTCCCTTAATCCTGCCTTAAGAATGTTGCTGCATTTGGTTCAGAGCAAATTTTCAATATAAAACACTAGCCTGTGAGCAGAAAGTTTAGCCATCCCTGAGCTATGAGAAGAGACTGCATGAAAATTTTGTGATGACTTGACAAAAATATTCATACTTTAGCAAAATTTAGGATGGGTGTTGCTTTCACTGTACACACTCATTGGTGGCAATCTCAACATTGTGGAGTTGGGGACATAAAATCTACTTATCTCTGACCACTGGAGGCTAGAGAAATGTATCAGAAGAATCTAACTACAGTTATGTGCCACATAAAGATGTTTTGGTCAATGAGGGACCTCATATATAAAGGTGGTCCCATAGACTATAATACCGTATTTGTATTGCACCTTGTCTATGTTTAGATATGTTTAGATACACAAATACTTACATTTGTGCTACAATTTCCTACAATATTCAGCACAGTAACATGCTGTACAGATCTGTAGCCTGGTAGCACTAGGCCATACCATATAGCCTAGGTGTGTAGTAGGCAATTCCATTGAGGTTTTTGTAAGTACACTGTATGATGTTTGCACAATGACAAAATTGCTTAAGGATGCATTTCTCAGAATGTACTCCTGTCCTTAAGTAATGTATGACTGTATTACTAAATGGCTAAATTTCCTTAGGTCAGTCACAAAAGCTATTTCATTCACAGCATTCAGCTGAGAAACCTAAAATGAAATTACTTTTGTTTACTTCAACAGGCCACACCACTCTTCTGATAATAGACCTTTCTTCTTTCAGGGAGCCAGAGTTGCTCCCCTAATAGTCCATGTGGTTGAGATGTCCCTGACCCCAATCCCAGAGTCAGGTTTCTGCAAACAACCACCAGAGTACAGCATCCTGCCTGGTCCAATCAGAGGCAACCCCAGAACTATTGCTAGAACAATTAGTAGACAAGAGCACTAGAAGTGCAGGCACTAAGGGCATAACTCTACTGGGTCACAGAGAAAAGAGGAGTAGAGAAAAGGAGAAAGACAGTTTGATGTCTAATGTTCTCATGTAGTCATTTTGCCTCAGGATAACCTAATGGCAGTAATACCCTGAAACATTTATGTCACATGCACCGCATAAGCTAGATTTGAGGTGTGTTTCTATCACTAGAAACTGAAAGAGTGCTAACTAATGCATCTCGCCCTTATCCTAACCCCTGAGGCTTATAAAATGAAATTCCAATTTGGCATACCAGCTTTTTTCCAGTAAAACATAAATTGAAGCCACTCAACTATTTTATCTCTCACAAATGCTGGGACCTCAATCTCAGTTTGCTCACCATTGCTTGAAAAAGCCATGAGTGTTGAAACCTTGCTCTTGTTGCTTTTCCTTAGGATATATGTTCCTGTGTAAATTCTGGTTCTAAAGACGCTATAGAAAGTGCATCTCATTTCTCAAGTCTTCTCAACCATCGCTCCTCTCCTGAGAACTTCAATTTCCTCCTCAAACACGGTGAGGCTTTTATGGTATATAGACATAAGTACTGTTTAAAGCAAACCCTACGCAAATAGCATAACAACAGCATTTTGTACAGATTAACTTTTTTGTGCTGTAAGGATGAATGAGCAGGGCAAGTCAGAGACAGAGGACTAGTTAGAAGTCTGTCACAGGAATCCTACAGTGAAATGACAAGGGCCTGTCTCAAAAAGTGACAGTAGAAATGAGAAGAATGAATAGATATAAGAAGCAGGGGGAATTGACAAGGTTAGTGATAGATTGACCAAGTGGTTCAGATGGCTTAAAAAAGATATAGTAGCAAAAACCAGCTCTGAATCTTGTACCACTGTCACCCTGATATAACCATACCAGACTGTCAAAACTAAAATTTCATATGCTGATGGACACTAAATTACAAATTTCCTTCAAGGAAACAAATGGTTGGAGTTAGCAATAGAAACATACAGATCTGTGTCTTTATTTTTATTATGTTAATAACTTTGTTATTGCCAAATAAAGTAGGCACTTTGCATGAATTAGTATAAAATAATACATAAAAAGGGCAATAATATTTGAGATATGAACATGCAGATTTATTATTTCAAACCTAGGGGATGTACTACAATAAGAGACTATAATATGGCATATGGCATACATATATATTATATGATACACATATAAGTATATATTTAAACAGAGAGAAATGTATTAACTGGTTCTAAAAATTAATTTACAGTAGTATGTTTGGGGTATATGCAAATATTTGCAAGAGTCATTGCAAACATTTTTAGGAACAATATTAACAAAAAAGTAGGGAAGAATTCATCTGTTTGAATTACATAAGAATTGGAAATGATAGGGTTTTCCTTTCTGTTTTGTTTCGTTTTGTTTTGTTTTTTGAGATGGAGTCTCACTCTGTTGCTCAGGCTGGAGTACAATGGCGAGATCTCGGCTCACTGCAACCTCCACCTCCCAGATTCAAGTGATTCTCCCACCTCAGCCTCCCAAGTAGCTGGGATTACAGGTGTGCACCACCACGTGTGGCTAATTTTTGTATTTTTAGTAAAGACAGGGTTTCACTATCTTGACCAAGCTGGTCTCAAACTCCTGAACTCAAGTGAGTCACCTGCCTCTGCCTCCCAAAGTACTGGGATTACAGACATGTGTCACTGCACCCAGCCAGGTTTTCCTTTCTTTTACCTGAAGATTCTTTTTTTTTTTTTACTTTCTTTTTTTGTTGTTATTATTACTTTTTTTTTTTTAATTACACCTTAAGTTCTAGGGTACATGTGCACAACGTGCAGGTTTGATACATAGGTATACATGTGCCATGTTGGTTTGTTGCACCCATTAACTCATCATTTACCTTAGGTATTTCTCCTAATGCTATACCTCCCCCATCCCCCCACCACCTGACAGGCCCCGGTGTGTGATGTTCCCCACCCTGTGTCCAAGTGTTCTCATTGTTCAATTCCCATCTATGAGGGAGAACATGCAGTGTTTGGTTTTCTGTCTTTGTGATAGTTTGCTGAGAATGATGGTTGGATGAAACTGGAAACCATCATTCTCAGCAAACTGAAAATTTTTTTAATCTTTAAGTTCACCTTTGAAACAAAGCAGTTGATCGGTTTCAGTTATTTCATTTCCTCTCCCCTTTCCTGTCTGGCTTCCCTCTTCCTTCCCCACCCTCCCTCTTTTCTTCTGAACTTCTCTCCTCAGCATTTTATGACTGGCCAGGAATTACTCAGGTAAGTTATATTCTTTCTCATAAATATATTTGAATGATTCAGGCTGCATTCTCTTTACTGAAGATCTATCCTGTAAACAAATATTTTTGAATGAAAGGATCTGATTCTGATGTGTTCTTAATCCAAATGAACCGTACCACAGATATTTTATCTAAATGGCTACTACAATAAACCCTAAAACCAGACTTGAGATCAGAATAGCATTCAGATACTTTTTCCCAAGATATTAAAAGTGGTTCATATCCAAGTTTGGAAAATCATTCATTCAATAAAGTTAGTGACTAAGAAAATAATTAGCACATGCTATTACTTGCTTTGGAATTAGCTCGATATTTTAGTCCAGACAAATTATGGAACATGCACACAAAAATCCAAATGTTCTCTTTGTGCACTTTTAGCTCTAGTCAGTATTATAATTTCCTATGTCAATTTCTAGTCTAGTGTCTGCATTCTGTCTTTAAAGTCTGGCAATCTGGCCTGATACTGATCCTTGCGCCACTGATATTTAAGCATGTACTCTGTATTTCCCATTGCAGACCTCCATTCACCTGTTGAGATCCCTGCTGCCCCATCTTGAGCCCCTGCAGCTGTTTTGCTGCCCTGAGAATGCAGTGCCCTTTGTTCACTGTCTTCCTCCCCTCTGTAGCTCTGATGTCAACAGGCAGTGGTTACAGGCAACTCTGTTCCCCCAAAACCTCATTGGCTTGGCCTTATATGTTACATTTTAGGTCACTCCCACTCACTTTGCCATACCAGCTCTGTATTATGTGTACAAAATTCCATGTCTTATTAATGCCCCCAGAATTAAAACATCCAGTTGGTAAAACAGTACCAGACACATATTAGGCACTCCATTCAAAAGCATTTGGTGAAGAATTTGCATTCCATCAACAAGTTCTGAACAAGTTTGGCATTACCAAAGATGAGGACATGAAATGGTAAAAGATGATGGTACCATCAGAGGTGAAATATGGGTTCTTTCATGTTGAGTTTAACGATCTGTATGCATATATAGCCATGGAAAGAGTATGGTACCTAATATTAAAATATGTAAGATGGTCCCACATTACCAGGAATGCTTTTTAGAAAAAATAATGCACATGGTAAGTGTCTAAACAATGTCACTAATGTGTAAGTCTATGAAAATGTGACTCCAGATTTTTATCTCCATCCCCAATGTTACCACTTTCTGGTAGATGACTAACAATAAAATGAATGTTGTGTTCTTTTTGTTCATTTTGTTCTTTTAACTTATAAAACATCGTATCTGTAAAGAGGAATAGTTGCATTGTCTGCTCTGGTTAAGAAGAGATATCAGAATTATCTTCTGAGGAATGAAAGGGATGCCGTGGGAGGGGAGGTCTAACCATGAATTTATTTTACCTGCTTGGCTAACACAATGCTCCAAATGGAGCCAGTCATCCTTGTGTTTTTATAACTCACATTAGAACTTAAGTTGGTTCAGCATGCCAGCAGAGCTTTGCTCAAAGCTCAGAACACAGTGTGGGCAGTTCAAAGCTTGCCAAAGTCTATTTATAAACCATGCAAAGCACATGCTCAGCGTTTGTGAATTCAAGTACAGTATAATACTGCAAGGGTTGTCAGCTCTTTCTCACTAAATTATATTTTTCAAGATTACTCTTTTCTCTCATTCTTTTTTGCAATAAAGGCGTAAAAGAAAGTTAGCACTTTCTTTTGAATGGAGCAAGTTAAATGAGAATGAGTGCCATCGCCAGGCCAGGTTTCCAACTACCTTAAATAGAGTAAAGAAGGTGGAGATCATAGTCTATGGCCAAAGCAGTCTATGAATGACTCATTTGGTGATAATATGCAGGGTGGATTACTGGTCAGGATAATACCCAAGGAGACATTTGAAATAACTCAGAAAGAAAATGAAGTAGGAGATTGGTAAGGGGGAAAAAAAAAGGGACAGATAGGAAAACAAATTTTAAAAAGCAAAAAGCATGAGGACTTAGTTCTTTGTAATTTCCTCAGTGATTCAGCACCCAGAATAAGGTTTTCTCTATTTATTCATTAACCATTCATTTCACTCTTAACATATGCTACCTTATATTATTACCATTTTTAATGTTTTCCCTCTATCCCCAACCACGTATTATCTGAGAATGTCTGATAATATCCAGGCATTAGATATACCGGGAGCATCCAACTCAGAGAGTGCCCGAAGGATGAGTTTATTTATTATCAGAGGTGGAATGCAGGAGAAATATCAATAGAACTTGGTTATAATTTTAATATATTAACATTTTTATTGAAAGCCAAATATGAAGATATTTCCTTTTTCAACTAGAATTTGCTTCAGCATATGAATTCGTCTCTGTATCACTGTTGTATAGCACTCTAGTGCATTCCTGGGATTGAATAAATGTTTGTTGAATGAATAAGTTACATACCATTGTATTTAAATTAACAATGATTATGATTCAATGTGGAAATGGCAAAATTATGATAATTAACGCATGGCAAATAATGTTCCTCCTTTGAGTAACTAACCCTCTTGTGCAATGCACATTTATGCTTGCATATATATATATATATATATATATATATATATTTAGAACTAAGAGAACTTCTTTTTCTATTTAAAAAGTTGTATAAACACTGAATAGTAATTGATTTCTTATAGAATCCACTTGTTTTTATGTTATGTGACCTTTCTAAACAAAACAATTATTTAAAAAACTGTCAATTTGGCACCTAAATAAATTTTCTTTCACTTCCTAATAGTAGTCACTCCTATGTCTACATTTATTTATTTAGTTGTAACATTAATGGAGTATTTTAGGAAACACATGATTCATTATGATTTTTTTAAAAACCAGAGGTCTATGTAAATGAAATGTGGTGTATGATACTCTGTTATGCAGACAGATATCAATTTTAAACAATGTTACTTTTTCCTCTTTGCTATTTTTGAAATTATTTATATGAAAATTAGAAGTTAAATCTTTATAGTTCTGGATAACTGAAATGTTCTATAATTGTCCTTACCAGCCCACATATACTATAAAATCATTCATGTTGTTTTTTACTTTCTCCTTGTAAACATAGCTTTAGCAAGTTATCACAGTTTTCAGAGCTGAATAGCTCTGTACATAGTCTGATTTCTAATCTAACATTCAAAAGCTATTCCCTTTAAAGAGCCAAAAAAAAAAAGTTTACAAACTAAAGTCACTCCAAAAGCAAAAAAATAAAAACAGATTATAAAGTCAGTTTCTCAGCACCATTGGATGGTACCCCAAATTTGGTTTTCTACAACTTTCTGAAAAGATGGTTTTTCACATTCCAATTCCACTGAGGTCAAGTCACAGGATATTTCAATATTTTAATATAATGTAATATGTGTCAAGCTTTGTGGTGAGTGTTGGTGATCTACCATTCACGTCAATGGTGAACAAGCTTTTACACGTACTGCTTTTACAGACTAGTGCAGCAGAGAGACAATTAACCAAAGAATCACGCTACAGTGAGATTAAAAACATCTATGCCAATGACACTTACAATAATGGCACTGCCTTTTTTGGTGTGATTTTGAACTATCTTCTCAACAAACAACAGAAAATAACAGAATTTAGTCTACCAGAGTGGAAGATATGTGTTAGCAATTCAAGGATGTTTCTGTTAAAAAGATGTACCCCATTACCTAGTGAGAGTAACATGCTCTCTAGCTACCCTTACATTTAAAGGCTATAAACCCTACAGAGTATATTTTTGGAGATAATTTAAGAACCCAGGTTTCTAGACGTATAGGGAAAAAATTATCCACAGAGTTAAAATAAAAGGCAGAAGAGATAACAAGGATCTCTTCTTTTTTCATCCGGCTTCATGAAATTTATATTGTTCCTCACACTAAAATTCAATGTATTAATGAAGTATATTGGTTAGTTCTCAAACTCTTACTATAATTTTTTTTTCTTTTTATATTCACTCCTGAGGCTTCTTTTATAGTTGAGTAAAAGCTAGTGGCTTCCAAGGTAAATACAAGACAAATATTCCATCCTAGAACTTCAGCTGATTATTCTCACTTTGGGCTCATTTGCATTCATTAAAATTCAAGTTCTGGGCATTACACTTTATCTGGGACTTTTTGTTTTAATTAAGAAAATAGATGTATATGTGGTAAGAATTGAAATTCTGAGTCTCTTAAGAATATAGGAGTTATTCCTTGTTATTATATCGTTACCAAACCATCAGTTGCCACTTTGAAGTTGCTAAGAAAGTGTCGTTTTGGAAGACGATGAAATGTTAAGAACAGAGTATTTGGTTGTTTTGTTTGATAACCAGGTTTCTAGAAATACATTTTAGTACAGCAATCTACAAGAATTATAGGGGGTTGGTTTCAAATTCACTGCTTAATTTAAATAAATTTAGAATTAAAGAAATACTATATTAACAAAATAATAATGAATATATGAGACACTGATGTATGTTCTTAAATCTATTTGTACATACCAAAACTCATTGACAGCAACTAAATATAGGAAGACAAAGAAACAGAGGCAGAAATCCCAAGGACCCTGCCAAATTAAGTCTAATATTCTGACATTTCTCTCTCTAATGTGCTAATGGGAGGGATATAGTCTCTGACCTCTCATTCCCCGCAGGAAATGTCTGTGTCAACCTGAAACAGCCTTCCAAAAATAATATTTAAGCTTTACCTCCAAGCCAGCAGCACTCTTAATAAAATAAAAGCAGTACTATATTTCAACAACTTTAAGGTGGCTTTTTATTTTTCACATTTTAGCATTATTAAAATCAGGATAAAACTTAAGTTTGTGAAAAGTTATACTTAAATCAGAAGTACTTTTCTTAGAGGTAAAATAAATATAATGCATATTTTAACTGATGAGAGCTTAAAATGGATGAAATACAATTGCTCTCAACTTGTAGGAATTTCAGTTACGGTGGCAATAAACATTAGCAATACAGTAGGCCAAGTGAAAGCTCTGTGGATTTCCTCTAAATAAAGATGCAGCAGAAGAGTTTTTCTGCCCACATGGCAAGCTGACCCCAGACACACACTGACCTTATAGTGTACCTGCACAAATAGTTAGCTCTATCTTCTACAACATCACCTTAGAATATAATGTCAGGATCTCATTTTCATGAATAATGTAGGCACTAGGGCTACTTTACCTTGATTGCTTATTTTCCATTCTCCAAAGCATACACCTTATACCCAAATGATGTAACCTTACCATTTGCATTAATTCATGGATTTGAAACCAACCCTCTGTAAGTTCCCTGGGGTCGTTTAGTTTCATTTCTATGCATGTAAATAGCACCAAGACTGACATAAAAATTAATGAACTATTTACTTTAGTAGCCTATGCTTTGCTCCTAAAAGCAAGCAAATGTTTACATAATTAATTTTATTAATATAAAATTAAAGCTATAAAACCTTCAATAATGAAAACAGTGTCAAAAGACAGGTGGCATTTAGTTTTGAAAACTGTAAATTAAAATGAAATTCAAAATGAGAATAATTGTAGAGCAGTCATTTTATCTTTTTGATACCATCACCATATATATATATATATATATGTATATACCATCACCCTATATATATATATTTTCCACACACACACACACACACACACACACACACACAGAGAGAGAGAGAGAAACAACAATTTCTTTATCCATTTATCTGTCAATGGACAGTTAGGGTGTTTCCATATCTTGACTATTGTGAATCATAATAAGACAAGATTATAGTAGTACTCCCCTGTTCACAGCAGCATTCTTCACAATAGCCAATATTCTTGTCTTGTTGGATACTAATCTTACGAAAGATGTCTTGATTTTAGGATCCAGATTTGCCCCAAATTTGGAAGTTGATAAGAAGCTTACATTTTTCAGGTTTTCGATTTCAAACGTCACAGCACAGCTTTCTCCAGTTCTAGTTGTTTAGGGAACCAAATTGGCATGAGCTGAGTATCTCCACAGGAAAAAGACAGACATTTTTTATTATTTGGCATTGCTTGTATATGTTTATTAATAATTATTATTTAAAATAGTACATAAAACTTCTCAATAGCAATACACAGTTTTGAATGGAGGATATATCATTAGATACCTATTTTTCCCTTGGGGGTTTTATCTAAGTAAAAAAAGAATATATAACTGAGAAATCCTGTATTAAATATGTTTATCCCAAAAAGCTTTCTGAGTTATATATTTTGATAGGTCACTTTTTTCCCACATCTATCTTTGTTACATTAAAGAATCAAAGCTAGGCCAATGGGAGTTATTTAAGGAGTAAAACCTATAGTTCTAATTAGCATAAGGTGCACTTAATCCCAACCCCAGAAACTAATTGAGTCATGGAGTATGGAGGGAAATGAGATGAAGGACTAGGAGACCAGCACACAATGGTTTTATTCATTCTATTTGAAAATACCTGAAGACACCAAAAAGCAAACATTCTTTTAACAAATAACAATAAACTTGGCCAGGCACGGTGGCTCACACCTGTAATCCCAGCACTTTGGGAGGCCGAGGCGGGAGGATCACGAGGTCAGAAGATCGAGACCATCCTGGCTAACACGGTGAAACCCTGCCTCTACTAAAAATACAAAAAATTAGCCGGGCGTGGTGGCAGGCGCCTGTAGTCCCAGCCACTCGGGAGGCTGAGGCAGGAGAATGGTGTGAACCTGGAAGGCGGAGCTTGCAGTGAGCCAAGATCACGCCACTGCACTCCAGCCTGGGCAACAGAGCGAGACTCTGTCTCAAAAAAAAAAAAAAAAAAAAAAAAGAATAAACTCCAGTTAGTGATAATTCCTGCTTCAGATGGAAAAATTTAAAAAATAGCCAAACTGCCACGTCCTTTCTTGTTCCACAAATGACTGTTGGCTGTCTCAGTGATTTCCTAAGTGTTGCTGGTTGATAAGACCATTGTGAGTTGGCACTGGTCCAAGACAGCTGGCTGTGCCTATCACCTGGAGGCCACTTGAACGTTATAAGAACAGTAGACCTGATGCTTCTGGATTCCTACCACATGGTGCAGCCATAAACGGGTAGCAATGAATTAAATAAAACATGTTTTATAGGCTAGTTGGCCATGTTTATAGAGAACAGTCACCAGAATATTGCAAGAGAAATTGCTTGAAACAGATTGTATTTAATGCAAGATATCTATGAAGCTAGAGTTATTAAAAACATATCAGCCTAAAATAAATAGAAATGTATTCAAATTTCTTAACACCTTTATCTTCTGATCACACGTTGTACTAGATCTACTGACATGGTTGACAAAATAGTTGTTGTGTGCTGAAAGTTGTTACACATAAGATATACATAGCTCAATTATATCAAATTGCCAATATTATTTTAAGGACAAAATCTATAATTTGGAACAACATACAGGTCTATTTTTCTAAACAACTCTTTCAAATGATGATATCAAAAAGTATTCACAACTAAAATGTTATTTTTCCATTCAAAAAAAATGTTCAATTGCATTTTACCATTTTAGCACGGTAAAATTATCTGTCAAATTAAGCAGACATATGCTGAAACAAAATTCAAAGTGTCCCTTAGAGTAAGTTTTCTTCTTTTAAGAAGAAAAAGTTTCAAGATACACATTCTAAAAAACATTTTCCACATGTGCTTATTTCAACAAATAATCAAGGAATTTAGATTTAAAGAGAAACAATCTATTATGTCAACAAGAATAAAGTATGTTCAGATGTCCAAAATATAAATAAGGCAAAGGCATTATCACTGAAATATGGTAAAGATTATGTATTAAATACTATTTTACTAGTTAATTTGAAATTCTTTAATAAAATGTTATTCTCAAACTTTCAGTATTGAAGTTAGAATGTAAAATTTGCCATCATGAGCTCCTTTTTGTAGTTTTTAATATGAATATGACTTATCACAAGCTTGGTAGCTAACTTTCAATTTCCAACTATCAAGGAAACTATTTTCTTGATTGGACAATAACCTAGTTATTTGGGAGTACAATCACATATTATTTATAGTATTTGAAATGTTTTGGGAATGGTGGGCTGCAGACAACATTAATGAGCAAATTGTGAGACCCTTACTAAAATAAATAATCTTTTAAAAGCTTTACTATTTACCCTCATTAATAGACCTGACATTTATTCCATCACTCAGTAAAAAGAAACACAAGGCAATGTAGGAGAAAAGGAAAGGAAGAAGAAAGCAAGGAAGGATTAAAAATAACTGACTTTTTAATAAAAAGCATCTTTATATTAACATTACTGTTTTCCTTTCTCAAATACCCTTCCTTTGTGTTAAATGTTGTCAAGATACAAGCTTTTAGACTTCATACCTAGATTTTACTGTGATTCATGAGGATTGTAATAAAAATGAAACATTCCCATCTATCAAGATTGCAAACCAATTTGTTGAAAAATCAAAATAAATTTATTTGAGTATGGGTGGTACTTGCCTCTAACCATAAATTTTATTAATGCTTTGTTAAAATAATAACAATGACAGTAATAATAATAATGAATGACAGACATAATATTTCAGTCAGTTCGTTCTGTTGGAGGCTTTCAACTTCTCTTTCATAGTGAACTTGTGAAATATTTAGTAACTATTACAGCATCTAGCCAAGAAAATTCTCAAAAGAGATTTACAAACAAAATCTTTCTGAAATTTACAAAAATGTTACCAATGTTTTAACACCTTTATTTTACAGCAAAGAAAGTTATTTTGGACTTTTACCTGATGGAGCTGACTTCATATTTTAAAAAGACCAATTCATCTGACTACACCTTAATTTCTGACCACATTTAAATTGTCTCATCTTTAAAATAGTGAGTTGTCTAGTAAGAGGCCAGTGCAAGTGGATGAAAGAGAATTTACTCTTTTTTGAGCAACTCCACATAACCAGGTTGGTGCCTTATATACATTATTCTACTAGAAATCCCTTAGGTAAGCAAGAAATGTTAACTTTGCTTTTTCCTACTTTTACTTAAAGCATGTGCAAGTTTATCTCATGGTTCAACCATGAAAAAGGGATTCCATCTGTCTGTAAAGGCCAGGTCCTCTGTTACTATTCTCTCTCGTTTTTGGTATATTTTTCCTAGAACTGCCTTGTCACCTTTTGTCACCAACAAGGCTCGTCCTCATCCTTGATGTCTATAATGCCTATATCTGTCATTTATCAAAATCTTTTGAATTCATCTCCCCCAGTATATTGTAATGTCCTGAGGATGCAATTCTCGTGTTTCTCTCCTGTGAGTTCCCAACCCTGCTGGCAGAGCCTGGCCCATGGTAAACAGTCATCAAATGTCAATAGAACTAACCAAATTCCCTTCCCTCACCTTATGCTTTTCCTTTAGAGAGCTAAAACTCAGAATTTAACGTTGCTTTACCAAGTTAGTCTTTCATTATGTTTGATTTTCACCTCAAAAAGTGGACAGAACATTGAGCTCCCCCTCATATATGCCATAATACAAGGTAACAGCAGAGCACAAAGTTTCCTGGGATGTTGTTATGATGCCAAAGAGGACTACTGCAATTCACTGCTTTTAAATTATTCATATAATAACAATCGACATAAAAACACATACAGGTTTATAAAAGACGTGCATTTGTAATATGTATGGAGGGATATCACATTTAATACGTTTAACAGTAAATCAAACTTTAATGAATTAAAAAAACCTTGCTGTTTAAATACAGGCAGATACTATGAGGAAGAGGAAAGCCACCTGGAGCTGACTTGGGTGAAGCTTATTGGAGGGGGTGGAGAAGCATATGCAAGGGCACCAGTTACTGTAACTACTAGATTATGCTTTTCTCACTTGAAGAAGGGGAGAGACTTCTAACTCCCAGGGAAAAAGTCCTGAGAGCCTTACTATTTGCTTACGGAGCAGCTGCACATGACCTATGATAAAGTGGTAAATCCTGTCTACATCAGACTTTCTAATCCTACTCTTCCTTTTGGGCTGGAAAGGGCACAGAAATGTGTCCTCTCCAAGGCAGAATTGAGAGGGAAAATTATTTCCTTCCACCCACAGTTGTAAATATTTGAGGAAGTTCAAAAATAAATTGATTTATAAAACAAACAAAAACAAAACAGCCTTTCTATGCACCGTTCAAGGTCCCCAGAGTAAGCGTAGCAGGTTGGTGGATGCTATCTCAGAATCTAAAAAAAAAAAAAAAAATCCTAGTTTCTTTGTTTCTCTCTTTTCTCCAAACTGAGATTCATTTTAGGGAGGCCTGTGGGCAGAATAACTAAATTCTGAGCTACTATTGCCCAAGGACAAGAGTATTCTACTCTCAGTAGAAAACTTTCCAATAATCTGAGTTCTCTCTGGGGAAGAAGCAGTGATGGCTGTGGTCAATCTGGCTCTATACCTGAAATCTTCACTTGACCAAGACAAAGTGAGTTTCAGAAGCCATTACAATGCTACAGAAGGTCGCCCAAATTATGGTTTTTATTACAATTAGCTTACAGCACAGCCATGATATATTTTAGTTGTAGCATGGTTCTATTGGAAATGGAATGGAATTCTTTCATAATTCAGAAATATCATAAAAGCTACTTCCAGTGTGATTCTTAATACAAAATGGACAGTTATCAGTATAACTGAGGGAAGGCACATGGACATAAAAGATGTTCTTTGGAAAAATACTGGAACATAAAACTTTATATGAACCATAAATAAAATTTATAAGCAATGTAACCCTGAGGAGAATGCACACTGGATATGGATCACCCTAGAAACACTGATTGTCAAAATAACTAACTATTGGGCTCTCACTGATTCCACGGTATTGATACTGTACACAGCCAGAGTCAACCTTTAAATGTTTTATTTCAAAGATGGTAAAGAAGGAAATGGGATGTCAATTAAATATAGATTTTATGGCTTATGCCCATATGTATCTTGAGACCTGAAAAGAAAGTGTCCTTTTCAACATCTAAACAAACAAAAAATTAACTATAACATGTTTTATAAAATTGTAAATTTTATAAATTGATATTGATGTTCATCTAATGATAATCAGGCTGCTGAAATGAAAAGCTGATATCATTTTGATTCCCTTATAAGGATCAAAATGAGTTTCATTCTCCAGCTATATTACCACTTACTAATTATAATGAAATGAATTAGACTAACTAGCACTTATAACAATGACAATAAATGATGTAGACAGAGATATGTCAATACCCTTTTGCCTTAAGAATTCTATTAAGAAAGTTAATAACAATAACATGGTACAACTATCGAGTAGGTTTTTATATGCCATAGAGTATGCTAAGGTTGTTATATAGTTTAGTCTATTTAATCCTCACAACACCCATGACATAGGTTATCATTTTCATTGTTTTACCAGATAGGAATAAAAAGGTTTAGAGGGTTTATACAATTTGTCCAGGTTCTCAGAACTGGTAAGTGGTAGACCTGGGCTTCAAACTATGATAATATGACTAAGTTTATGGGCCTTTAGTAGTTTTGACATATAGCTATTTTTAGAGGCAGGTAAAAGTAAACGGATTTTAGTGGGTACCACAAGGGAACAACGCAGAAACAAGGGACAGTGAAAGTATCTGGAAGTAACTCCACTTAACTCCCACTAATAAAGGCCATTTTAGTTGGCCATTGAATTACTCCGATTGGATCATCCCAGCTTTGGTTTCTCCAGTTCCAGTTTGCATTAAACACTTCCTAGTCAGCCAGCTTTATAGAAGCAATTAATGTGATTTCTGTTATGTACCTTTTTATAGGTTTATATCTTGTCCCTTCAAATTCATCACATTCAATAATGTCTTAACTCAGTAAATATTTGTTATTCTAATTTGATTGGATGTTAGTATATTCCTTTATGTTACTTTACCTTCGCCTTCAAGAGGACTCAATTTTACACTTTAATACTTTCATCCATTCATTCTAGCAACCCTGAAATATTCCGTTTCGTTTGTTTGTTTGTTTGTTTTTCAAAATTCTCTATTGTATTTAACTTCTGATATCATGGACCACCACCACCACCTTCATTTTCAGCAAAATTTCCTTTTACTTCATTAGACATTACAGCAAACTTCCAGCCACACAATACTGCCTAGACCTTTATCCATTCCTTCCTCTTTCCTCCAGTTATCAAAGGAATGCAAGTGTAATTCTTTTGCCATGGAAGCTATGTTTTCCTTTCTCTCTCTTGAACATCATTCTCTCTCCTGGTTGAAGCGAGAAGGAAACCAAAGCAAATGGTTCCCTACTATCCTGCCTTCCATGCCTCTACAGCCTCCACTGCCAGCCCAGAAAGATACTGCTCATACTAGTTACCATTCAAAAAAATTTAGTTTCTTTGTTGTTTTTGTTATTGCTTTCTCACTAGAAATATCACATATAAGAACAAAACTGACTACAAAAGACCACCCTGAAACTTTTTTTTTAACCTAGCCAACCTATAGAAGAAAATGAGACTTTTTCCTCTCCCTTGATTTTTTTAATGTCCTTAAAATATATATATGTATATATATACACACACACACATTTGAGACAGAGTCTCGCTATGTCGCCCAGGCTGTGGAGTGCAGTGGTGCGATCTCAGCTCACTGCAAGCTCCGCCTCCTGGGTTCACACCATTCACCTGCCTCAGCCTCCTGAGTAGCTGGGACTACAGGCGCCCACCACCATGCCTGGCTAATTTTTTGTATTTTTAGTTGAGATGTGGTTTCACCGTGTTAGCCAGGATGGTCTCCATCTCCTGACCTTGTTATCCACCCACCTAGGCCTCCCAAAGTGCTGGGATTACAGGCATGAGCCACCGTGCCCAGCCAAAAATATTTTATATTAAAATTCCAGTGGGCATTTTTGATTCCTTACTTTACTAAATTGCTAAGTATTACATGGCACAGACTCTTGCTGTTGCTTTGAACTCCCCGCAAGCTCCAGGTTCTCTTTTATAATTGTCCTACTCAGGATCCTTCCAAACTTTTTTTCCTCTCCCTGGGCAATATTTAATATCAGAGGCCCTCATTTCTCTTTTCACAGTATACTCTTTGCCTACCCCATCTCATGCCTGCCCATGACTTCAACTTTCATCAGCAGAACCAGCTCTAAAGTGTGGAACATTTCAGGAAATACAGGAACCAAGTGTTTATGTACTCATTAAGTATCTGTTCATAGAAAGGGTAATTGTAGAGTTTTAAGCTGCATTAAATAAAACAAATTAACATTCCTCAGATAAAAATTGGCTCAAGTCAATCTTTTTATTTCCTTAAGAAGAAAAGAAACTCTGCGTTCCTTACTATTTCTACCACATATTTTGACTTAGTAATTGAAACATATAACATGTATGTACACAGAAGCATTCTGGATATCAATTATCATTACCTTAAATTTATGCCTTTGGAAGATAAGGTATTTACATATAATAAAATGTGTTATTTTACTATTTGAAATCCAATTGGCTAATTATTTCATTGAAACTAACTGTGACATACTCTTAATGATGTAATAGGAGCTTGCTCAAATTGTGGCAAAAATCTATATGACCCAACCTTTGGTGACAAACTGGTCACACTAGAAAATATGGGGCAGAGAGAGCAGTACAGGAACTCCTTATCGCAAAGGTAACATTTCTGATTACATGAAAATTAGAGTATCAACAATGGGGGTAAATTCTTAACTTTTCAACTACTAAGTAGTGGTTATGGTTTAGATTCCAAATCAACAGCACCACCAGACATATGCAAAGTGTCAAATGTTTCAGATGATTAATGAGAGCCATAGAAGTTCAGAGGAAGGTGAACCACTGTCAGTGTCAGAGCCAGCTGGGTCCTTAGCCCCTAAACCAAACCCCTTATTGCAACATAGGAAAAGCCAGTGGTTTCGTGGATAGTCCTTTCCACAACAGCACTAGTCTTACAACGTAATGTAACCTCCTAATCTGGTTTTATAAAACCATGTACCTCTAAAACATTTTGAGGTCAACAATTTATTTTCCTGGTAAGTGTAAATAGCAAAGAATATAAGTTGTAGCATACTAAAAATATGGATATTTTAGAATAAAACTGGTACATAATTCTTTTAAAGAATCCAGACTAATTAAAATACTAGCACAAACTACACGTTTTGCTGGGTCCCCACCCAAAATCTCATCTTGAATTGTAATCCCCATAATCCTTATAATCCCCACGTGTCGAGGGTGGGACCAGGTAGAGGTAACTGGATCACGGGGGTGGTTTCCCCCATGCTGTTCTCATGATAGTGAGTGAGTCTCACAAGATCCGATGGTTTTATAAATAGTGTCTGGCATTTATCCTGCTTGCACTCACTCCATCCTGCCATTCTGTGAAGAAAGTACCTGCTTATTATTTGCCTTCCCTCCATGATTGTAAGTTTCCTGAGGCCTCCCTAGCCATGCAGAACTGTGAGTCAATTAAATCTCTTTCCTTTAAAAATTACCCAGTCTCAAGTACTTCTTCATAGCTGTGTGAGAATGAACTAATACATTCCATGAACAAGATCTTATTTATTGCTGGAAATTTTACTTAAGTCATATTTCTTTTTGAACTCATATTTCTATCCCCACTGATTTTTATCCTACATAATAAATTTTATGCTTGAAAGTCTTTGTATTGATCATATTTCTCTGCAACAAGGAATTGTATCTAAAGATGGTTTTAAAAAAAATTCCCTGTGACCATATAACTCTAGGTGTAAAAAAAATTTCTTTTGGGTTGAGTTACCATTAAAATTATTAAAAGAGCATAATTATCAAAGCAAAAACTTAAAACTGTGACAAGTAATTATTAGACAAAGATTGCAATGATCAGAAATGAATCTCTTAATGAAATGGCTTTTTCCCATTTATTTTATACATGCTATGGATGACTAATACTTGCTGTTAAAAGGAGAAAAGACCCAGCAAGAGTTCTGTTTATTGTTTTTATTGCTATAACTGTTAAGGTTCTTTGTTCACACAAATAAATAGATGGAAATGGAAGAAACTCTTTCCATTATAACAATGTCGCTCAAGTCCTTGAACTACTTCTCAATTATATGCCAAAAGTCAATGATTTTCCATCAAAAATTATTTTAATCATATATTGGCTGACAACTCAATTAGGCCTCTCTGAAATTTTGCTTAAAGTAGAGAATTGTAAACCACCTGATTTGAAAATGGATCTGTTACCCAGTTATCAGAGCCATTCGATTTGTCAATTAGCCAAACAAATTATTGTTTTATTGTATCCTCAAAGCTCTGAGTTCATATGCCAATGGAACATCCTCACATAACCCCAGGGATATTCACGCTCCAGTTTAAAATCCACTACACAGTAGCATAATGGCCCTTTTATATTACATTTATATGTGTTCAATTCTCCTAAAAGTATAGTAATAAGTATAACAGAGCACAGAATAGATCGAAATTAAACACCTTTAAACAAAAGATCTTCTCCTAAGGATCTTCTGATTGATCATCAGCAGCAAATACACACTCACATACACACACACACACACACACACACACACACACTCTTAAGGTTCAAATATCTACAGCAACTAATTCAGTTTTACTACAAACTACTAAAGGACCTTAAAAAGAATGTTATGATTTCTTTTATTTTCTAAACAAAATGGTATTAGCCAAATAAGACACTGTATTATTAGCAACAACCAAGAATTCATCCATTTATGCTTGAAAAACAAATAGATTGATTTCCTTCATTGGGTTCTGACAAATAGAAAAGTAGATCAAACCTAAACATTTCCTGGCTATGAACACTATCATGTCTTTAAGAGGTACAGGGAATTATTAAGATAGCAGTCAACTACCAGAAGCAAGTGCTGAGTAGTTTTACAGCTTTAAGAGGCTGCAAGCTGGGGCATTCCTTATTCCTGGGTCGTTCCTTGTTCCGTGGTAAATCTGTGGAACTGACGGAAACTACTGCACTCACCGTATCTGAGAGTACCAACAAGCTGCTGTTGGCCTCTTCTGTGGAACAACACAACTTCCCCCAATCCCCATAAAAACAATAAACGTGTGCCAATTTTTATTTGTGGAATGTCCTTCCTTTATGAAGACTTATTTTTGTTCATGTCTTTGGCATGTATTTGTAATGAAATTAAATTGTATGAGAAAATTTACTTATTAAGAATAAAAAAGGGAGAAAATAAGAGTACATTGTCTTTCCCAGACACAAAAGTCATATGCAAAAGGTTTACATTCCTTATTGATATCTTTCTATACTTTTTTTCTATATTTCCTGTAGGGAATCAATCACAGCTGATCTCCCATCTCCAATCAATAATTTTAAACATCATATCAAATGAAAAGAAATGCATATAAAACGTGAGGCAGTAATAGTCTTCTCATTCCTTGCTTTAAAATCCCAGTAACATCTGACATATAGTCCATTCACCTGTCTCATATACTGGAGTAGTCAGAATTCTAAGATCATCCCAATGACCCACACCTTTGTATAATCATCTCCATACTTGGCGTGAAAGACACCTATGAATATGATGGGCCAGTGCTCCCATGATTAAGTTCTGTGATATGGCTGGCTCTAAAAGATAACAGAATTATCTTCGGTGGTGCTTATCTAATATGAGAGAAGAAGGGGGAGGGGGAGAGTGGGAGATTGATTCAAAGTGTGGGAAATTCTCTGTCACTGGCTGTGAAGATGGAGGAGCCACATGGCAAGGAATTCAGGTTGTTTCTAAAAGCTGACATCAGCTCCAACTAACAGCCAGGAAGGAAAGGAGAACCTTAGACTTACAAATGCAAGGCACTGAATTCTGCTACAATCACATGAGCTCAGAAGAGGCCCTTGAGTTCCAGATAATAATGTAGCTCAGCAAATGCCTTGATTTCAGACTTGTAAGACACTGAGCAGAAAAACCTCCCACATCGGCCCAAGCTTCTTACCTACAAAACTGCAACCTAATAAACAGGTATTTGAAGACACTAAATTTGTGGTAGCTTATGATACAGCAAGATAAATCCAATACATACACATTCCAAAAACAGATCATTAGAAAAATTTCAATACCTTCAAAACGTAATGTCCAACTGTTCACCTTTTCAAGACAATACATACTTTTTCTATCTAACATTTTTGGCTTTCTACTGTGAAAGAAAACCCACCTTAAAAAAATAACTAATGTGGAAACCAAAACTGAAGCTATAATACTCAAATGTCTAATACTCAAATTAGATATGAAAGAGACTCATCTCTTACTTCTCTATTTCTTATTTTTGAAGCTTTTGAACTATGAGTGAAGTATACTGTGCACATTTCTTATATAAATATCACCTCATTTAACTTTCACAACTTCGTAATGTGGTAGTTACATTCTCATCTCACTCATGAGAAAACTGAGAGCCGTATGAATTTAAGGTCAACTTCAATGTGTTTAAGATATTCACGTTATAGTCCTCCTATATATCGCTAAAGTGTACCCACACCAAGGATTCCATCTTCATTCAGCACATAACACTCTTCAAACACCCAGGCAACCTCAACACCAAACCAGTCCATGAATGAGATCTCTCATTCTGAGTTCTTGACTCAAATCTTTGGAGTCATCCATTTGAGTGAAACCGTACCTGATTTTTCTGCTAGGCAACTTGACTTATACATTGAAGGTGTTAAATAGGCTAAACCTTCCTAGAGCAGTGATGTTTTTCAGTCTTAGATGTGAATGGGAATTACCTGGGAATATGAAAATATTTAATGCCTGGGTCCTAATGCCAGCGGTAATAATCTAATTGGCCTGAAGTGGGGCCTGAGCATAAATTTTTTAAAAAATCTCCCAAGTTGAGTGTAACATAGAGCCAAGGTGGAGAACCACAGATACAGAGTCGGCTCATACCTTTGGAAGGAATTGCAAAGATTATTAACTACACTGTAATAAACAGGAAAGAAAAACACCAACAGTCATTTACCAGATCTTGCTTTTTGCCCCAGTATATATACCTGGGCAACTGAGGCAAAAGAAAAATAGCTGAAAAAGTCTGATAAGTGTTTTACAGCTGTATTGGTACAAATATTCCTGTGGGCCCTTCTACGATAGCAGTCTAATTTTAAAAGATGTGCACTACTGCTTTATTTAATGCTCCTTAAATAGCCTATATAAAAGAAGTATCTTCATTTTCTAAAATCACTGTATTTGTCTCTTTCAATTTGGCTCAATATATAATGCTACTCTGTTGTATTAGACTTCAACTTTATAATTCTAGCCCCTTTTGTCTTTTCTTATTATTTTTCTGTAGCATGTTTAAAGTGTTTCCTTATTTTTTCTTTGTTAGAATTTTAGCTAGTTTTTAAATTATTTTCATGTTAATAGGAATATCTTCATTAACAAAAAGAGAAATTTATAAAATTGTAAGTAAATTTGCAAGTATAATCCCAGTCCCAAAGATAACAATATCCCCTCTTACACACTATCCAGTCATACCTAACTTTTTCAGTTCTTGAATACATTACATCTCTTTCCTGCTTCTAGGCTTTTTTAGATGCTGTTGTCTCTGCTTTTCTACATTAAATCATTTTTCCCTGGTTAAGTATTCCTTCTCTTTCTAGTTTCAGTGAAAACATCGATTTCTCAGAAATGTCTTCCAAGAAGTCTAGGCTAGGATTTTCCTGCCCATATGCAACTCTTGCACCCTCAATTGAAACCAAACATACCATAAGCCGTCACAATATATTTTAGCTGTTTCATAGGTCTCTTTGCCACTATGTTGTGTGCCTAGTGAATAATTGGGACTCACTTAGTACTTACTGGATGAAAGAATGCTAATAGAGTGGTGTGTATCTGTGAATCTTTTCAGACTTTGAATGCATATATTTATAAACAGAATTGCATATATATTGTGTTTATCTTCACTCAACAGCATGTCATGTGTCTTTCCAGGACAGTACATGTAGACCCATCTTGTTCCTTAACTTTATAGAATTGATTTTTGTTTGTTTGTTTGTACTCTACTGTATTAAACAATTATTTTGATACAAAGTTTTGCTCTTGTTGCCCAGGCTGGAGTGTAATGGTGTGATCTTGGCTCACTGCAACCTCTGCCTCCCAGGTTTAAGCAATTCTCCTGCCTCAGCCTCCCGAGTAGCTGGGATTACAGGCACCCACCACCACGCCCAACTAATTTTACGTGTTTTTAGTAGAAACGGGGTTTCATCATGTTGGCCAGCTGGTCTCAAACTCCTGACCTCAGGTGACCCACCCCTCCTCAGCCTCCCAAAGTGCTGGTATTACAGGGGTGAGCCACCGCTCTTGGCCTGATACAATTTTTTACCAGTAGAATTTATGCTCAATCAAGAACCTTGTACATACATCATTGCTCACCTGTACGTTTATTTGCTTAGAGTCCTTCAGATGGGGTCACTAAATCAGAGGATTTAAAATTATAAATTTAACACATTTTGCCAGATTTTCTCCAAATTATTTTCCAGTGTATGCTTCCATCTGAAGTGTTATTTTAATTTTTATGTCATAATTTTGCTTATTGAATGTTAAATCTTATATTTCTTTTATTTATTATAAAAAGTCATTTATATTTACCTTAATCAATACATGTCTCAACTGCTATGTATCATTTGATAATGACCAAAGTGATTCATCTCACAAAACTGTGAGAATTGACCAGTGCAAAATACTTCCCTAGGCAAATGTTTTAAATCTTAACTCATCTATTGAGTTGATAAAAGATAACTAAACGGTGGTAACATCTTTTCTGAGGATTTACATTGCTTATCATGAACTTAATACAGAGAAAAAGCTCACAAGAGGTATGATCAATTTTCATATGTAGGAGGCAGTTTCAGAAGTACACATACAAATGAAAATAAGAAGGTAGGTTCTATATCTTTTTTCTTTTTGATATTACAGTATATTACTGTATTGGTAAAACAGTAATATACTGTTTTGATATTACTGATATTACAGTATTGGTCAGTGCTACATTTTAGAATCATATGTAAGTTGTACTTATACATGTGTTGAAGTTATAAATAGCCTTCCATTTCACACATTTTTCAAAGCCTTGGATATCCATAAAAGTATATGCAAAAATTGAGTATACTTACTGCTATTAATAAAAAAAATCAGGAACTAAAAAATTAAGAATAGTAACAACAGCAATTTTAATAATAATTTGAACTAAGCCTTCACTTTAAAGAATGGAGAGTCTGGCCGGGCGCGGTGACTCACGCCTGTAATCCCAGAACTTTGGGAGGCTGAGATGGGCGGATCACCTGAGGTCAAGAGTTTGAGACCAGACTGACCAACATGGTGAAACTCTGTCTCTACTAAAAATACAAAATTAGCCGGGTGTGGTGGCACATGCCTGTAACCCCAGCTACTCGGGAGGCTGAGGCAGGAGAACCGCTTGAACCTGGGAGGTGGATGTTGCAGTGAGCCGAGATTGTGCCATTGTACTCTAGCCTGGGCAACAAGAGGAAATCTCCATCTCAAAAAAAATAAATAAATAATGGAGAGTTTGTGATAAAACATTAGCTTGCCTTTATTTCTTACTAGCAGCAAATTTATAAAAATAGAATAAAACCATGAAGAACAACTGCATAAAATTTCCTGAGTTTAATTTATAAGAGAATATTCTAAACACTTAATATTATTACTAGAAAAAAAAAATATATATATATACCATAACTTGGTTGAGAACAGAAAGTATCAAATAATATTTAAGTTGCAGCAAATACCATGAATATTTGATAATCAGACAAGAGGTGGGGGGGTAGTGTGGAAATAGTGGGTATTAGACAATCCTTAGTAGTCCACCCATCATTTACTTTACAGGTTAAGAAGCTAAAAATGGTAATATGGAAAATGTCAACAGATATATTAATGCTTATGTTAATAGTTGTGGTTACAGATGAAAAACATAAGTCTCTTTCTAGCTCTCTCCCTCTGTTTCTCTTGCACAGATGTCTGCAGACATAGAATTGTATGGCTGGAAGGGCACTGTATCCTGTTTGGTTCAAGAGTGCTAATAATCCCTCATCAGAGTTCCATCTAACACATCTGACCCAAGGCCATCTGACCGAGTCTTATCCCCTCCTAGTGATAGGAATACACTGCTCACCAGGCAGCCTGTTTGTTCCAGACTCAGCTGCAGTAATGTCAGAGAGCTCTTTCAGCTCTTTGCTGGACATCTCAATAAGAAAGTCCCACAGGTATTTCCAAATCAATTTGTCCAAATTCAAAGTCATTTTATTCCTTGCTGCAAAACTGCTCCTTTCCTAAAATGTTCCCTGTCATAGTTAATAGCCCTACTACTCTGCCAAGCTAGACCTTCTGGCATTACCTTTGATCCACTCTCTTCCTCACTCCCACAGCCTAGCACATAGCAGGCACTGAATAACATGTAAAGGAAAAAGGTTGGGGGCGGGGGTGGGGGTGGTAAGGAAAGAATGGAGGAAAGAAGGAAGGAATAGGGAATGGAGAGAGAAGGGGAAAATGGGAAGGAGGGAGTGTCTTTCAATTGTGAGGTTGAATTGAGGCCCAACTTCATTGTTTCTTTTGCATCTCATATTGATAACCCTTGGACAAACACTTCTGTTTATTAGATTATTGCAATATCCTTTTAACTTGTCTTTTGCCACCTGTTCACTATTCATTCTCATCTCAAAATTGTTATCTTGCTATCAAATTTATATTTCTTGTAGAGTATCCTTTTTTTGCAGTAACAGTCACCTCTAATTAAAAAATATATTTAATGCCTCTCATTATTTATAAATATTGTTTAAACTCCTTAACTTAGGCCCTTAAAATCCTACACTTGGTACGGTTTTATGTTTCCATCTTCTGGAAGCTCAAACCCAATCCTTTTCCTACTCTCATATGCACTAAAATCACACAAAGGCACAATATAATGAAATGGGTATCCTTGTCACCTTTCTTCATTCTGTGTTCAAAAACTGAAATATCATAACCAATTCCTCCTCATCTAAGCCCTATGCAGTTAAATCTCTCCTTAACATCTAACCTAAAGTCACCTTTCTTTATAATAAATCCTTCTTTGACACTTTCAGAATTAAGAAGCCTTGCCCTCTTTGCGTGTCTTCACAATTGTGTTAAGTCTATTATAGTATTCATTTTAGTTTGAAAGCAATAAATACAATATTAGTACAAGCACACTGTCAAGAAATCCCTAGAATATGGCTCCTCTGAAGGTTGACATGGGTCTGCCTCGCATGTATCTTTTCATCTCCAGCATCCAGATCAGAGTCAACAACAACAACTCTACAAATATCAGGCTTCTTGGTGGAAAGAAATCTGGACATTTTTTCTATGAAAAAAAAGTTAGGTTACATGGCATTAATATTTTTGCTAGACTTAACCTACAGAAAATGTTTCAAGCTTATAAAAAGATTACATAGTTTTAACTTAACCCTGGACACAAAATTGCAGTGCTCCTCACATTTTAATTGGCACCTCCAAATCACTCTGATACTGGCCAGTTCATTAAATACTAACCTAGTAAGATATGCTGATCTGGATCCCGTCAACCTCCCCTCTCCAGCTTCTGCTCCCTTTGCCTGCTCTCCCTCTCCATCCCCCTCCCTCAACACACTCACATCTCAAGAAAATCATGGTGTTTTGCACTTAACCTTCTTCATTGAATTCGGTGCTCTCTCAACACTCAGTGTCTTATCATTAAATCAGATTTGGAAAATATTTTACCCTCCTGTGATGTTACTCTTCCTGCCATTTGAAGCAGCATGGACCAAATTGTCGCAGACAAGTCTATCAAGAGCTGAAACTCCACAGGCCATTCTGCAGGGTGTGCTTGGTCTTGCTCTCCCTCTTTGAGAACATTAAGCTTGATCTTCATATGTGATGGAATGAAAGCGACTGGAAACAGAGAGTGGCTAATGGGAAGGTCTGCATTCACAGGGGATCTATGCAAAGCCAAAATTTAGCACCGTGGGGCATGCAGATGTACAAGAACTCCCTGGAAAATGTTCTGTTTTTCCTCGTCTGAAAGGTTCTCTGAATAATCAGAACTATTCCATTGGAGGTATGATGCTTTTTTTTTCCAGCACTGGTTAAACTATTTACATAAATTAAAGTATATGCATACCTATTATCAGACTCACATGAAAAAGCTTTCTTTACCTTCAAAGACAGTACCCTCTTCATGTAGCAACTACTCCTTGTATGGACAGAGATATGAAAAGAAGAATAAGCAAGCCAAAAAGATAACTGAGGCCTGGGCGTGGTGGCTCACGCCTGCAATCCCAGCATTTTGAGAGGCCGAGGTGGGCAAATCACAAGGTCAGGAGATTGAGACCATCCTGGCCAACATGGTGAAACCCCGTCTCTACTAAAATACAAAAAATAGCCGGGCATGGTGGTGCGTGCCTGTAGTCCTACCTACTCGGGAGGCTGAGGCAGGGGAATAGCTTGAACCTGGGAGGTGGAGGTTGCAGTGAGCAGAGATCGCACCACTGCACTCCAGCCTGGCAACAGAGCAAGACTCCATCTCAAAAAAAAAAAAAGGATAAGTGAAAAAAAGCATAGAACACCCCCACTTAATCCCAAGATCTCTCTCTTATTCCATTCTTCTTGGATCCCAATTCAACATTATGAAAGTCAGTTAAGGGATCAGAAATCTTACAGAAAACAAGTATCTACTAAGTATCCTTTAAATAATTAAACACATCTGACTTGAACATTCAAAAGCCTTTGCTTCTCAAAGATAAGACATTCATTTTAGTATTCAAATCTTGTTTGGAAGTTAGCTGTGCTGCCTGAATCACAGAATGCCTTCTGTTTTGTAATTCTAAAGTGACATTACTCTTGGGCTTTAGTGACATGGTATAAACTGCTGGCATTTACAGAGTACTTAGCAGTGATACCAGTAAATCAAGACGACGTTTCAGCAACACTTAGGTTTTAAACCTCTACCTCACTAACCCTGTGTCCCAGCCATTAGTAATGTATAATTGAAATCTTAATTCTCACTGACTTGGGCTGAGTCAAGCCACTTCAGAAAACAATAATACTATCTGACATGCATGACCTTTTTGATTAAAATAACTTGTCACTTTTACAGAATGTCCCTTCCATATCTCATTAGCAGCTTCAGAGCCTCCAGTCTTCAAAAAAGACATTTATTTCAGGAGATGCTTAGAAAATGTGCTTTCCTCTTGGAAGTGTTACTACACTAATAAGGTATTTATCTACATGTCATTATTAGCAAGAAGAATTCTGGCTTCTATAATGAAACACAAAGAAAACAACAGCAATTATAAAGGCATCCCCAAGGTTAGAAAATGTCTATATGAAGATCAAATTCAAATATATTCCCAATTTATTAAGAGCTCTCTATATATGCAAATGTTCACAAACTAATTAAACCAATCACTGTCTAATATCATAATCATCTAATATCATAATCAACCTGTATCATAATGTTGACTAACGAACAATTCTGTAGATATTTGCAGGAGATAATTGGATGGCATTTAACTGGAGAGAGAGAGAGAAAAAAACAAGGTAGACACAAACAAGAGCTAGAGACTCTACTCAGATTTTATTGTCTTGTCCTCATTACCTATTCAAATGAGAGTTGAGCTCAGAAATGTTTTAAGGAGACACAGAGAACTTAAACTTCATTCCTTAATTCATCTCTTTGAATTAACTGAACTTTCTAAAAGGCATGAGGCAATTAGGACAATAACTTGATATGAAGTACACATGAAGAACAAAACAATCCTGGGCAATGGGATTTTATTTTTTAATGATAGTTGTATTGGGTTCCAGTCAGGTGCGGGTCTTCTTAAATCGAAAACCAAATAAATGGCTACAGAGATACTTCTCTGGGATGCTGGATGGCATAAACTGTTGCATTAACAGGGAATTTGGGCCCTGACTTCATTTAATGCCTAATGGAACTGAAATTGTCCAAATTGCTCAGCATACTGGTGATGTCCAAGAACTCTTAGAACCAGTCCTGAAATAGGGAAGATAAATAGGCCAGAAATACACAATGTTTGTGCACATCCTTATACCCATGCTGTGCACACCCACTGCCCTATGAGAAGGAGCACAATCATGTAATAACGAATGTTACTGCCTTACTAGGACCTACAAAACAAAATTTAAAATTATTGTTTTCTAATTCCAAGGTTTTAAATTGACATTAAAATATTTCTTTAAAAATTATATAAGCTATTTTAAGAGTTACACATTGCCCAGATCAAATCAGATTGATTTCTGATTTGTCTTGGAAAACAAAAAAAGATGAAGAATGTAAATGAACTTCTTATTTGATAATATTAGGCAATAGTCACAAACATAATTGCTCAGAATTTATGCTAGGAAATGATAGTTATATTTGTTTTATCTAAGGCTATCTCTTTAGGAAGGGTTGCAGTTCAGATCACATTCAAACCCTTTCTTAAATGCAATGATCTCCGAAACTACAGGGTAATGTCCTAATCAGTTGCATAAATCTGCTTTGTGATAAACTTAAAAAAGAAAAGCATCACCTTTGATTAAGAAGGTAGTCAGTCCATAACTATTTAACCATGAAGCTAATTCGCCTGATAAATATTGAATTCTTGAATTTATTGACAATATACTTTGCATGGTAGAAGCAAGTCAACCAGTTGAAAATAAGCCTTAACAAGATATATGTGAGTGTCTAATATGTGTGTGTGTGTTTACTCACCCATACACACACACACACAATTGTGAAATTCAGAAATTAAAACCAAATTTTAAAACCCTCTGTGTTGTGTTACTTTATTCTTTTGTTTTTAATTAAGCTGTTCAACAACGCATTCATTTTTCTGGGAGACTAGGAGACTACGAGAAAGAGTAGTTGTACATTTCACACTATGTATCAGCACAGGTGGTTAGGATTATCACTGACTCTTTTGATGTATGAATTTGCACTGATACTATATTAATAATTGTTAACAGGCTATACTCCATTTATATTCTGCCCCAAAGTATGACATTTAATTGACAACTGCAGAGTGATTTAAAGTTGCAAACTTCCATGTCTTTATAGACTCATAATTCAAAAGGGAAAGTGGTACACACAGCAGCAATAAGTTTAAATTATACTTTAATTACCTTTGAAAGACAAATTCTTTGTAGTCCAGCATTCCTCTGAGACGTCTCACTTTTTTTATCTGAATGTAACATGAGAAAACTAACAGAGTCCAACTGCAACTGGACAAATAAATCTATGATTTTATTCAGTAAGCATTTAATGCAAACAAAATGCCTTAATTCCAAAAAATTAAGCTTTTAAAATAAAGTGAAAATTTAGTAATGGAAAGGAGTGTTTCTTAAAGGTGCATAAACATGATAAGTATTAAGTTAAAAGCAGAATTTTACTATTCAAAATTCTTGATGCACACATTTTTGTATTTGTTCTTCATGCTCATCTAGCTTTGTATCTTCCTCCTCAATAAGACATGAGCTACACTCTTTAAAAATCTCCCTACAACATGTTGTCCATCTGTAAAATTTGAGGGTTTGTATGAATACGTGCTTTCATCCATGAAAGTTAAGATAAAAGGAGAACAAATGAATCAAGACAGAGAAATACAAGTGATGCAATTTTTATTCTATGCAAAGGATGTACAGTCTAAATTTATGAAAAATATCTGCATAAGCCATTATTAGTCCTGTTCTGACTGCCCAAGAATGTCTGAAGTGCAAACATGTTCAGGACTACAGAAGCAAGGATCTCTGGCATTCAGTAAATTAACTGCCAGAGAAAGGGCTCCGGATAAGACACAAGTAATTAATAAGGAAATTATTCTCACCTATTAGCATATTTGTTCCTAAATGAGATATATCTCACAACTCTACTACTGAGTTACAGCCCTCCTCTCAACAAAGAGAATCATTTGATAACCATTTGATTAAAATGTAAGCTTTACATTTTAATCAAACCTTCCTCATAAGCCTGAACTAAGTAGCTTTTTGTTTGCTTGTTTTTAAAGTCAAGGTTTCACTCTGTTGCTCAGGCTGGAGTGCAGCAGCATGATCACAGCTCACTGAAGCCTCAAATTCCTGTGTTCAAGTGATCCTCTTGCCTCAGCTTCCCAAGTAGCTAGGCATACAGGCACACACCACCTTTTAAATTTTTAAATCACTAACAGAGAGCTTAGTATACTGATTTAAAGTCAATATTACTGTTAATGTTAAGGAGTTCAAGACCAGCCTGGGTAGCATAGTGAGACGCTGTCTCTACAAAAAATTAAAAGAAAATTATCTGGGTGTGGTCACACATGCCTGTGGTCCCAGCTATTCCAGAGGCTTAGTTGGGAGGATCACCTGAGCCCAAAAGGCCATGATTGTGCCATTGCACTCCAGCCCAGGCAATAAGCGGACTATTAATATCCCACATTTCTTTTTTGATTGTTCAAAACTGGATAAAATTAGACCTGGATAAAATTATCAGGTGCATTAAGGACAGTGAACATTACTATTATCCGTGCCACTTTCTTACCTATTCTTCTAAATCTTCAGAGAAGGAAATATACTGGTAATGACACTGAAATGATGAAAGAGTAAAAAGTTCACAATTTTGTACACTGTATACACTTTATTTTTAACTAGTTCTTTTTGTAGAACATTTTGCTTCCAATTCAGTTGCATATAAAGGTAGTAAATCCTAATTCTTGGCCATTTGTAAATATATGATGCATGATAGTTAATTTTATATGTTAACTTGCAGGGTGTGTTTGAAAGAGATTATCATTTAAATCAGTGAACTCTGGATAAAGCAGACTGTCCTCCATTATGTGGATGGGCCTCATCCTTTCAGTTGAACAAAAATGCTGGCCTTCCAAATCAAGAGGGAATTCTCTAGCAAACTGCACCATTGGTTCTCTGGGGTTTCCAGCCTGCCAGCCCATGCTGAGGATTTTGAATTTTTTAGTCCCCACAATCACATGAGCCAGTACTATACTTCTTTCTCTCTCTCTTTCCATATATATATATATATATATATATATATATATATATATATATATGGGAATATATATATATATATATATGGGAACATATATATATATGGGAACATATATATATATGGAAACATATATATGGAAACATATATATGGAAACATATATATGGAAACATATATATATATATATGTTCTTGCTATTGTCTGGACGTTTGTGTCTTGTATTAATCCATTTTCATGCTGCTGATAAAGACATACCCAAGACTGGGTAATTTATAAAGAAAAAGAGGTTTAATGAACTCACAGTTCCACGTGGCTGGGGAGGCCTCACAATCATGGTAGAAGGCAAAAGGCACGTGGGACATGGTGGCAGACAAGAAAGCATGTGCAGGGGAACTCCCTCTTATAAAACCATCAGATCTTGTGAGACTTATTCACCATCATCAGAACAGCATGGAAAAGACCCGCCCCCATGATCCCCACATGATTCAATTACCTCCCACGGGGTCCCTCCCGCGACATGTAGGAATTGTGTGAGCTACAATTCAAGATGAGATTTGGGTGGGGATACAGCCTAACCATATCATGTCCCCACCAAAATATGCATGCTGAAACCTGATTATTGATATTACGGTGAAAGGAGGTAGGGCCTTTGGGAGGTTATTATGTCATGAGTGTGGAGCCCTCATGAATGGGATTGGTGCCTTTATAAAGGGCTAAGAGACTCTCTTCTTTTGCTATGTGAAGACACAGCAAGAAGGTGCCACTTATGAGGAAGTTGGCCCTCACCAGACACTCAATCTACGATTGCCTTGATCTTGGACTTCCCAGACTCCAGAAATGTAAGGAATACATTTTTGTTGTTTATAAGCCACCCAGTTTATGATATTTTGTTACAGCAGTCCAAGTGGATTAAGATAGTTCTGTTTCTCTGGAGAACCCCAATACATAGTTTATAGACAAGTAACTTTTCTAAAAAGAATTTCTTTAAATGATTTTAAATCTGTAATTAAGTTATAGTGCTTCAGAATCCTCTCCTTGTGCATGAAAATCCTTCAGTTTTTGTATAATTCAATTATGCAGTTTCTTATCCACCTGAAAATAGATAATTCTATAATTTTTTTCACATTCAAGTGGAAAAAGGAAAATAAAAATTGAGAATTTCCTGAGCATTTTTCTTCCCTTTAAAAACGAATTATAATATTTCTTTCAAACCCAGTTTATTCAACATTTGTTATCTCTTAGTAGTGGGTTATTTTATTTTACCTGTTTAACCTTAGAGAAAGAATAGCTAATGAGTAGTTCAACATTTCCCCTATTACATAAAATGGGTTGTTGGCAAGACAGGTTAATAACTTTATTTTCTCCTTCTATCTATAAAGTTTTACTCTCCCTTCCCCTTAATAACCAAACATACGCTAAAATGAGGAAATAAATGGATTCAGGTCCAGAAAATTAATTCTTTAATGATGGATAGCTGCAGAGGTCAAGCATGCTAACATTTCATTATTGTAAGCGTTGGAAATACTTTATCATGTCTCACCTACTGCAGGACGCACTCTCTGTGGAGCAAGACAAAATGTTAATAAGAGTTGTGCAGACAACAAATTTAGTCTTCTCTGAGTTCCATTAAAATGTTCCGTTAGAACTTAGAAAACAGAAGATAATGTCTGCCATAATATCAATTCCCTTTTGAGGGTCCCCGTTGACACGCTCGATCTCAGTTGCATAATCTTCCCTCTGTGTTAGCTGACCTTTCTATGGTAAGAACTTATTACTCTGAAAAGCACATTCTTCAATTCAATGGTCAACCTTTTGCCCGCACAAGCAGAACACTCAAACCAATGTGCCAATACAGCAGGCTCACATTTTGACATTGGGTTTTTGTCTCTTGTTATTCACAGAATCTGATACTCCTATGTGCAGAGACTACAGTCTCCCTTGAAAACTTCATGGTCTCTATCAAATACACTAAAAGAGGATGCTTAGAAGAACCGTGGTAATTTTTATTTTAACTGATACAATCATTTCTCCTGGAACATACATAGTTTAATTCTAAAGGAAAAAGAAACACGGCAGGAACTGAAATAAAGCCTGCTGCTATCCTAACTTCAAAGTTTCATCAAAAAGAACTTATTTCTTGATTTTTCTAATCTTTAATGGAAAATATCCTTTCTAAAAGAATTAGAATTTCACTAATTTTGGAAAGTATAATGGCACACACCTCAGGTGGCTATCGAGGGTACAAACTGTTTCTTGTGCATCCTGTAATGCTTCATAACCTACCTATTCAATTTCCTTTCTTTATTAGGATGTTCTCATTCTGATCTAATAACATTCTCTGTAGATGAATGAACAGGTATTACAGATTCATTTTCATCATTTATATGAAAGCACTTTTATTTTCACTTTTCTTTCTTCTTAAAATATAAAAGTTTCGTGTCTTTGAGCCATTATATACAAAATTCCAGAGGAGTATTTTTCTTTCATAATCGATTATTAGGATAATTCTCCTTCCATTAAATTTGTTTTACGTTGGAACAAATTCTCTATTCTAAATAGCTTTCCTTCATTTTTCAGAGCATGTATTTATCACAACATTGAGCTATATCAGAAAAGTTCTATCCTTTAGCAATTCTTCAAATCTTTTTTGGCCCCAAATCTAACAGAATAACTGGATTCATATACATGGTGAAACAACTACACGATTTAGGTTGGTGCAAAAGTAATTGCAGTTTTTGCCATTACTTTCAATGTCAAAACTACAGTTACTTTTGCACCAACCTAAATAGTATTCCAGGAATGAGGACTATGAATTTGGAGTTTTGAATAGCAGGAAACTACGAGTCCTGGTATGGTGATACATTCTGCTTTTTACCCTTGAATGTGAAGTCTAGGAATCTTCAACTGAAATCATCCATTGGTTAACAGGTAACCTTTTTTCTCCTCTATATAGACAGGCCAGGGCCTGCTCCAGACACAAGTAAGATGTAAGCTATAAAAGGTTCTATGCCTTTCCACCTCGCCTTTGAGCTTCACTTTCCTCTCCTGTTATCTTTCCCCATTTCTTTCCCTCACTAAATTCACTTCATAGCTCCAAATCCTACCCTAGTTCTCATTCTTTTAGGAATGTTTTCTTTAACCTCTGCTCTAACTGTTAATAATAAGCTGTTAGCTTTCAGAGACATGTATAGTTTAATCTGCAAGCCAAGACAGAAAAAAATAAATTCTAATGGTGACATTAGACTTTCCTGGTTTCCAGCAGGAATGATATATTAGGGAGAGAACAGCCCTCTGCCTGGCACTACAGCACAGAGAAGATTGCTTAGAGATGAAACCCAAATTTTCCTGGGTCAATGTTTAAGTTAGGTTTTTCATCAGCCAATATTTGTTTTGGCAACTGGAACAAAGAAAATCTGGCAGCAAATATAAAAGTTACAAAATATACTACTCTTTAATTTTGATAGTATTAACTTTCTGGTTTATTTGATTATATTAATTTTATGGATATGGTGTTTTTACTATGTATCAGGCACTTTTCTAACCACAGTATGTATATTCCAGCACACATGCAGACCTCACAACAACTTTGTATTTATCTACCATTGGCCAAAATTTCCAATCCCATGATCTCCAGAGGAGGAAAGGGAATCTATTCCTGGAAGTCAAAGAATAAATAAGGTAGAACTAAATGGCATGGTCAATATTAGTGGCTTATGAAAATGTTTGTTGGTTTTAAAGTTGATGGCTATTTTTTGAGTAGTAACAAAGTTTTACCAACATTAATAAGGCAAGGGGGACTTTCTCCAAGCTAACATCAGGCTCTTATCTTTTATAGAGCTTTTTACACAATATCCAAAGACGCTCACTGTTCAATTATAAGATTTTCTTTCAATCTTTCAATATATCCATGTTTCAGACACTGGAATAAGTGGCAGCTTCTCAGCTACTCAGATTTTAAACCTTAGTTCCTATCTCCAGTTTTCTCAGTAAATTAAGATCTTTTTCAGTTTGCGTTTAATCTTCCATTAGGCTATTTGTCTCAGAAATCCCTTGAGTTCTGTGATGACCTAAAATCAAAAACATACTAAAAATCCAGTTTGATCAAATCTAAATAATGTATGGTTGACCCTTGAACAATATGGAGGTTATGGGTGCCAACCCCTCACACAGTAACTTTTGGCTTTCCAAAAACTTAACTACTAATAACCTACTGTTGACAGGAAGTCATACTGATAACATAAACCATTGATGAACACATATTTTGTGTATTCTATGTATTATGTACTGTATTCTCACCATAAAGTAAGCTAGAGAAAACAATGTTAAGAGAAGCATAAGAAAGAGAAAATATATTTACTATTCATTAAGTGGAAATGGAATCCTCTCTTCATCCTTGTCATCTTCATGTTGAATGGTTGGGGAAGGGGAAAGCTTGGTCTTACTGTTTCAGGGGTGGCAGAGGCAGAAGAAATCTGAGCATAAGTAAGCTTGTGTGGTTCAAACCCATGTTGTTCAAAGGCCAATTGTATTTTACTTGTCCAGACTCTTGCAGAATATGAAACTTTAAAAGCCTTTTTTAAAACATCTTAAAGCATTTTTCAAAATATATTAACTTTCAACCGTATTAATATTTATAAACAAGAGCCAAACTTTCAAATGGAAACTCACATGTTATCGGTCTGGGTGCTTGTTAGATTTCACTAACTAAGAGCAGAAGACAGCTGATAAGAAAATCCCCCAAACCTTCCCCACTCCAGCCAATGTTGTATATCCAATGGCTGTGTAACACAGACATGATGGGGACAACAAGCTTTCCTAAGGGAGATAACTTTACCATTATTCATCCAGGAATATCCGCTCAAGATATTAGATGTGTAGGAATCAAACCATCCAAACTGACACAAAGTCAGGTTTCCATCCAAACTGACACAAAGAGATTGACTACAAAGCAGAGAATGTATACTTCTTGTCTGGATGGGAGTGCTATGATAAAAAGCAGTATGTGTGCAAAAAGAAAGAACAAAACCCCTTGAAGCACATACAAATCCGTATTAAAATACAAGGCAGTTATAATTACTATATTAATATATTTTATATAATATATAATTTAAATTACTCATAGCAAATGTTACTTGTGAAAGATATTTGACTTTTACATTCTTTCTAGGCTAAATAGTGCCTTGTAAGAGAAACCTAATCTAGCTACTAGAGCATTAGTTCCACTGTCACCTGGCCCTGAGTACTCTCTGATCCTGCTACATTTTGCTTCATGGGCTTCCTTATATACTAAGTATGTACTTACTATCTCTGGCCCCAGTCAGACTATCATTTTCATTAGCACTAGAACTTTTGATTGATTTATGCCCTATTTCCTAGGCTTCCAGCATATAGTAAGCTTTCAATAAATATAAATCAAATAAATGAACAATTTTGATGTTTTACAGGACCACCACAGTTTATGACTTAAATTGCAAAGATTGTTTTAAAGCATGCCTTATTACAAAATAGTTAATATTCTTAAAAAATAAATATTTCTTTTTTTCTTTTTTTTCTTGAGACAGAGATTCACTTCGTCGACCAGGCTGGAGTGCAGTGGCGCGATCTCAGCTCACAGCAACCTCCGCCTCCTGGGTTCAAGCAATTCTCCTGCCTCAGCCTCCTAAGTAGCTGCGATTACAGGCACGCACCACCATGCCTGGCTAATTTTTTGTATTTTTTTAGTAGAAATGGGGTTTCACCGTGTTACCCAGGCTGGTCTCAAACTCCTGAGCTCAGGCAATCTGCCCTCCTTGGCCTCCCAAAGTGCTAGGATTACAGACATGAGCCACCACACCCAGCCAAACGATAAATATTTCTAAAGAACAATGAAAAAATAAAAACAAAAATCCTCATCTTTCAAGTCAGAAAGCTAAAGTTCAAAGTGAGTAAGTTCAGAACCAAAGTCAAAGGCTGATTCTGGGGCTTCTTCCTCATTCAGTACTATTTCCCGTGGTAAATTATGTCTCTATTTCTTAGGCTTTCGTGGCAATTAGAATCCCATCTGTGTTTTCATTTTATGCTCCTTTAAATTTATTTTCAGTGATAGAACTAAATTTAAACTCTTACTATTTCTTCTAGTTGTTTTTCTCACCAAACTCTCATATACATACCAGCCTTACCATTTGATTTTGTGACAGGAGTGAAACTTTGCAAAATAAAATGAAGTTCCTTTTGTTCCTCTTCCCTATTACCCTCTTCTTCCACAAAGAAGGCAACTACTAGGCTGAATTTGATGTGTATCTTCCAGTTTATGTTTTTAAACATTTATACATATATATATATATATCCATTTAATAATCAGTATTTTGTGTGTTTTAATGACATGAGTAGTATAATATTGTACAATTCTGCTCTCATATCTTGTTTTTAAAATTATGTATTTGATACATACATCTAGTTTATGCATTTGTCCTAAGACATATTATTTTATCCTTTGATTGAATTATTCATTTTACTTATATATCCACTATAAGTGAATGTCTTCTTTCAATTTACTTATTTTGGCCAATTCATTTTATCTACTAGTTATTTTTGCGGCAGACACTGCTGGTTGGGTAACCCAGAGATCATTCCAAATCCCTTTTCCTCTCTCCCAGCTCCAGGACAGAGGCTGGGAAAGTAAAATCCTTCCTTTCTTTACTCTGTCCTAGGGGAAGCTAAGTGACATCAAGGCATTGCCCATCTAGACACTGGCAACTGTATCCAGAGTGGATTCTGTTGAAGCTTTTGCTTTCCTGATAAATGTGTTAAAGGTCTCTGTGCAACTCTCTTCTCCATTCCTTTTGAAAATAGGCATGCTATTTGAAGCTCTGGCAGGCATCTTGAAACCATGAGAGAAAAACAAAAAAGTCTTACTACACAGATTCTGGCTCCGGCATTACTGAGCTAGTGCAACGGTCCCTTCATTTAGGTCTACATAAATGTGTGCCAGTCATCTTGGTGAGAAAAATCAACCTCTATTATTAGCAGAGGTAGATTTATTCTTCAGCTGGATGCATTGTTAAACCGCAGCCATCTCTTCACAATCATGTTTATTTCCATTTCCTCTTTACTTCACTTCAACAGACCTTTTTAACTCCATCCTTATTCCTTATAAAAATATATGTTTTACCTCACATCATTTCATACCATAATGAGCAAAAATCCCATCACACATTAATACCTAAGGCGCTTGCCATTTTGTAATACAGTGGTAGTCAGGGTAAGTCTCACTGGAAAGTGAGCAAAAACCTGAAGACAATTGATAGTTTTGAAAGCCGCATCTTATTTTTTCTCAGGAGATACTGAGATTGGGTTAAAATTATTTTTCAGTGGTGGGACCTATACCTCCAGGTAAAGGCAACTTATATTCAAATCACATTTAGTCAGAACTATAAAGTGGGGGACTATGAGCTGGGGGGAAGGAGGAAACTACAGAAGAGTAGAAATGGAGCTCTCCTCACAGAGCTCATGGCCCAGAGGAGGGGGTCCAGGCCAGCCCAGCACAGCAAGGTGCTCCACACTTTGAAAATGAATGGGAAAGGTCCTGTGACTCTGAGGAGGGTGAAGGCTCAGGTCTGCCTGGGACAATCACTGAAGGCTTTATTACACATTTAACCCTTGAGTTCACAATTAATGGTGAGCAGAAATTTGTAAGGCTAACAGGGGCATTCCAGAGAGAAAGAATAGCGGAAGCAGACTAGAACATCCACACAGCTTCAGGCAATGATATAAGTTTATCATGAAAGGAGCCACACTGTGAGCCATAGAGTAGCAGAAGATGCAAGTTGTGCTGATAACTAGGACACAGCTTAGAGAAAGCTAGGATCCCATTGTACAGGCAGAAATAAATGAAGAATCTCAGAGATTTGGAAAATCACTACATGGCCCAAGAAAGTTTTGAAATGAGCTCAGATGATACAAAACATTAAATGTATATATTTAATCTCTTCAGATACAGAGCAACATGTTTAATTTCTAAAGGACTGAATGCATACTCCTGCTTTTACTGCTTTGAACATTTGTTTAATTGTTTTTAAATTGTCCTCTTCAGCCCCAAGATGGAATCATCTGGACCACTATAAGTAATAGCACCCGTGGCTCCTATTTTGGACATGTGATTAATTGAAGGGCATGAGCCAGAAAAGCCGTCCCCCTGGCCCACCTCTTTCTCTTTGCTCTCAGTGCAAGTGCTCCATTTCCTGTTTCCAGCCCTCAGCTGCTTTTCTTTTCCCCCTGCCTCACAGTGATTATACTGAGAACACATTTGAAAGCAAAAAGTTGGGCGAGAATTCCAACAGGTGTAATTAATGTCAAGTGCTCCTGCAAGTGGCTGCGCTTTCCAGCTGCCTGCTCCACCTGCTGCCTTCTGTGGCTGCTTTCTTAATGCCGTGTCCATCTGTTAGAAATATGCATCCAGAACTCATCATTTTACATCCTGAGAGGCACCTGAACCCTCTTCTCCTCTTCTTAAGTGAGCCCTTAGAGCGTCACTTTATAGGCACGATTAGTTAAGTGTTGAGATACCACAGAGAGCGAGCACACTGGCTCCTCAGGGCACCTTTAATACCTTAAGGGAGTTTGTACATAATCGAAGTGGAGGAACAAAGAAGGAGAAAAGAACCCTCACTCTATACTTAAAAGGAGAAAGTGTAAGAACCAATACTTTCTTCAAATGTATACTATATCTATGTAGTTGTGAGTATGTGTATATATACACACACTCCCCCCCTTTTTTTTCACATAATGTGTCAGTTCACATTGGGTGATGTTACATTGGCTTTGTTGGACTTCTGTGCTCTACACCAACCTTCAGTTGGGGGTGGAAAACCACAGGGAAGATTCTTCTAGCACCAGTTCTGGCCCAGTGTATGGGAAATATGATGAGGACATGAAAAGCTGCAATTATTGGTAGGATAAGATAACAAACAATAGAGAGTAGCAGAGTCAAAAGGGGGGCAAGTTGTAAGTCTAACTACAGAAATGGTGCTTGGCCCAGTACTCAGCACATTATTAGCTGGCTTCCCAGTGAACTCGGCTAGATGCCATGAAGAAAAGAATCAGAAAAACCAATTATACTGACAACTGATGATAACTGAATGTGTTTTATCCCCTGAAGAGTATTTGCAATTTCAAAGAAAACTCTCGGAGTCTCAATGGCTTAAAACATACACATGTGCACACCCACTCCCACAAATGTATTTCTGATAAAGCCTGAGCTAACAGACCAAGAAGATAAGGCAGGTATTTGAGGAAATTACAAGGAAAGTGCCCAGTGCTTCTAGAAACATAGCAAAAGTGTTGCCTATTCCGGTTACACTTAAAGAGCAGTCCTGTGTCTAGTTATCTTTGGGATCTAATGAAGGGGACTGTAAGTATAGATATCTCTAAATTAATCATTTCTGAAACCCCAGGAGGTTGTTTTAATCTTTAGGACTCGGGAGATTTTTATAATGTTTATGTTAACTATGTCCTTAATAGTTTCATAGTTAAAGCATAAAATAGCAACACTACTTTAGATTGGAAATGTCATGAGAGCTGGAACCATGTCTGTGATTTTCAGTGATGTATTCCTAACACCCAGCACTTGGCATCTGACACGTGAACAGTATTTGTTGAGTGAAAAATAGCCTGCAGCAGTAGTAGTATACAGTAGACATAATATCAGCATTTTAAAGATGATAATCTTGAGCTCAGAGTTATATGACTTGCTCAACTTTGTCTGGTGTTTTTGCTACACCAGCAAATGAACTGTGGCATCTTGCTTCTTTGACATCACTGTTTTTTCCTACCACTTCTTAACAAAATCCATTTGTAAGCTCTTTTCCTTGGAAAGTTTAGTCTCAGCTTCAATCTAATTTCTAAAACTACTGAGCACAAAGTGTATCTACGCATTGTGATGGATTACAAAGATAGTCCCCTGCCCTGCTAAAGCCTTTAATACATATATATAGCAAAAATCCTATAAAAAGGTGCCTTGGCAGTAAAGCAAATTAGGGCATGAAATAATTGGCAATTGGCTCTTATGTGCTGCCTAGACTCCTTCCTCAAAATACTGGGGGAAGGACATGATTAGAATTAAAGCTCGTATCTTCTGAGGATGATTGAGTAAATGCAGGAGGGAAGGCAAGGTTGACAGAAGATGGCAAGCAACTGAGTTTTAGAAAATGGAAAAGCAGAAGAGTATCCCTGCATTCCTAAACTTCTCTCAGCCAGTATTCCCTGGATCCAGCTGACAAAAGAGGAATCACCAAAGAGAAGATTCCTGAAATTGCTACCATCGTCCTGGCAGTTCCAGCCAAAAACAGCAGGCGGAATCATGCCCACTGAAATGTAAGTTTTTATGGACCCTGTCCAGTGGGTGTCACCAAACTATAGCCAAGATTTAGAAGGGTTGATCTTAGCAGCCAGCCTTTCCTTGGGAACGACAGGCCAGCTAGCTACACAGACTTGCCTACGCTTATTTTATCAGCCTCCCAATAATGTGTGCTAACATTTTAAGCATTTAAAAATGTTTTGAGTCCCTCTAATTAATTAGACTGGGTTTTATTGTATACCAGTAATACAAGACAGAATTTAAGAATAGATTCAATAAGAGATGCCAAAACAAATTAAGTTGTGAATTCAAAGGAGGAAGGGATCCCATCTGATTGGAGAAAAGAGGAAATTAATCGTGGATAAAGTGGCATTTGAAATCTGCCTTGAAAGCTAGATAGTATTCTGATAGGGATAAGGGGATAATTCCACCTACAGGCAACAGAATAAACAAAAGGTCCAAGATGGCTATTGTGTGGGGTTTTGGAAATAAAGCAGTAGTCTAGTTTGGTTAGATCGCAGGATATGAGTAGGAGAATCAAGCATATGTGGGTTTAAAGGAATGAATACAGATCACAGGGTCTTAACCACTCTAATAAGGACTGTGAGTGTAATGTTGACAACAATGGGAGGCAACAGCAGTTTTTGACCATGGAGAGAGGGGGATTAACATGATAGGATAAGTGTGATGACTCCTAAGCCTAAATTTCCCATTCTAATCCCTTAATCAAACTTGATCTCTAAATGCTCTAAGAACATTTCTAATCTTGCATTTCACCAAAAATTAAAAGGCATATATTACTGGCAAACAAATTGTCTCTATTTTTTAATAAGTAAATTTGAGTTACCAGAGTCCAGCGTTGATTTCTGGCACCTCTGGTTATCTGTGGACTCTTCTAGGTTCCGTAACTACAGAGCTAACAAGGATGGGCATGGGTAGGATCTCCCATCAGAAAGTTTCAGTGCCAGGGGGTGGATGGATGTCTCAAAAAAAGGGCACTCATGCTATGAAGACATTCTGAACACTGAATGAAATGGAAGCTAAAGACACAGACATTCTGGGTAAAAGGAAGATCGATGGCAGAAAACAGGGATCTCATAAAATAAATAATAAAATCCAGGAAAAATGTTTACCTGGGCAATCAATTTAAGCAAGGGCTTAAATAGGGCAAAATAGGACTTAAAGAGGGCAAAAAGGGAACTGGTGATAGGTACAAGGTGAGAACATGAGCAAAAGGAATAAAATGAGAGCCCAGATGATGGAACCAGGAAACATGCTTAGCTCGAATCATGAGGTAAGAAATGGATGCAAGGCTAATTTAGTTTTGAACATAGGCTGGCCTTCCTCCAGGAACAGGAGTGGAGCTGAGCTTCCAGATGGGGTTAGGAAGACTAGATAGATGCTGGGTGAATGTGAGTACAGGAAAGTGGCTGGGCAACACTCCAAAACCGTTTGACATTTTCTCTTAAAAATTATTTCTCAAACCTTTAATAATTTTTAGAACTCTTACATACGCCCTTTCTATATCCCCAAGTCCTTTCTGTAGGAAAATGAGGAAATAATATGATATAGAAATGAGATGATATAGAGATGAGAAGGAACTTAGTTTGCATAGCAGAGACCACTTTTAAGGGAAGTTTTTATATACCTGATCCAGATGACTAGGATTTACACTGAAGCCATCAGAGGCCATTTATACAGCCTTATAAAGCAATTCAACGTGCTGACACTGGCAATTGATACTAATTAAATTTAATGAAACTAGAGGAGGTTCAGGCAAAGGCAACACAGAAATCAGGGGATGAACAGGGAGCTGTATAAGAAAAATGAAATGCTGACTTATTTACCAAATTATAAACTACTGGAACAAAGCAGGTAAAACTTGTAGGGAGAGATAGTCTTGAAATAAATAAAGAAAACAAAATTGATGTAGGTAATTTCTACTTCACACCACAATGCATTCCTGGAAATCACACCATAAAACAGCTTGTATTTTCCCCTAGGAGTAATTTTGTAATTGGATGTTGTGTTCCTGAACAAGGATTCATTTTTCAAATGAATTTGAGATATGATCAACAATATGCTATAAAGGCAAAGATAGAACAATGTTTGGCCTCTATAATAATTTAAAATATCATCATTATACTCCTAGTCCTATAAAATGGGCATACATGAACAGTGCATGTTGATTATACAGGGACCAAAATGCACCATAAATTGTAGCGACCACACATAATATTATAACTTTGCTGCCTCATAAATTTAACCTGTCTAAAAATGAACATGCTAGCTATAATAAATATTATTTAAACATTTAATCAACAATATTGAGTGTGTTCTCGGACTTCAGACGGATTGTTTTGGAAAGATAGTATTTGAACTCGAAAATTGGCATGCTGGAAGTCTCCTTGAATATCTGCTTTCTTTTACGCTTTCTGTTCACATGTATGTTTGATATACCTAATGTTTACTATGTTGCAATTTCTCTTCTAACTATTGTGTAAGTATTAATGTATTTAATCTTCATAACAATACCATAATATTGGTGCAATTTTTATGTTCATTTTATAATTGAGAGATGTTAGGCAACTTGCCTAAGGTCACACAGTTATAGCCAGAATTCAAAAACAGGATCCACACTACTACACTACATCAACTCTCTGGACAATTGCTTTTTCTCTCAACACTTCCCTGTAATAGGGGAAGCATTCCAATGGCGTTTGAGCTGTGTCCAGAGGTGGAATCATCACTCATTTAAAAAAGACACTTTAATTTTTCTCGTGAGGCAATGAAGGGAAGAGTTTTATCTTTTGTTCTCTAGTTCACCTTTCCCTCTTTTATTTCATCACTCCAAAAACATTAAAAATTGCCTAGAAAACAATGCTGAATCATAAAAAGGCAGCCTAAAGAATGGGTCTAGCAATCTGCTCAGTCTGCTATGCAAATCCTAGGCCCTGATGAGGTTAGTGTTACATAAGGTGACTGTATGAGTTTCGAGGTTTCCACAACATTAGCCAAATTATTAGTTTTTCTCCTCTTCTACAACTCTTGTACAATGTCTTCCTGAATGAAGTCAGGACCACCCACCACCACAAGCTTTAACCACCAATAATAAAATAACAGTGAGCTGACCTATTGTCAGGTTCTTACTGAGGTCCAAGGGGAGTTGGTGGGTGAGTGGCAGGTGGCTGGAAAAACACTTGAGGAACTGCAGACAGTTTTGACATGGCTTTACTCTCGCTCTGGGCAGGAGTAAGCCTAGGCGCAAGCTGTACGTACAGCGTTAGCAGGGTAATCATAACTTTTAACAGGCAATAATGGCTCTGAGCCAAGCACAAGCTCACGTGGATGATCACCTAATGTGCCTCACGTGGCGTGGTTACATAATGTGTGGGGTTGTGCACCTGTGCTGCAAATCCGCTGAGTCATGCTGCACTGGAAGGCTGCCTCAGCCTACTCATGACTAAAGTGCAATTTTCCTTACACCTGTGTAAAGAAAAGTGAAATTCGGTGACTTGCCAGCCATTAATGAAGGAGATGAGTGAAGTAAGGAGAAACAGTAAACGTAGAAATTCCTCAACGTTATGCACAAAGTAGAACTCGTAGCTCAAAGAGGCATCAGCAATTGAAAATATGAATAGGGTTATAAAGGACTCAGGAAAAATAAGACATTGATTCTTAAATAGCTCTGCAAGCAGATAAGGAAATAGAATCGTGTCCATCTTTGAAATGATGATAGTCCAATGTGCCCTTCCAAACTTCACTAATGCCTCCATTTGAGAATCTTCTTCAGACACTGATTCTAGATTGCTGATGACTGGTGGGACTCCATATGAAATATGCCATTAGACCAACGTATGTTTCAAAATGCCCAAATGAAAAACCTAGGATTCTTCCAGAGTAAATAGGATTTGAAAATACATGCAAAGTTTTTGTTTGGTATAATACTGTTATAGGTTTTCATTTGGAGAAATAAATGTTTATTTTCCAGTTTTCTTAAGATTAATTTTAAGATGGTTCGATTGCATATAAAATAATTTCATCTTAAAAAAATTAACATCCAGTATAGAAAGTGACAAAATAACAAGATGAACATCTAAACTATTTGATGAAGCAATAAAATAGCTTTCTCTTTTTAATTACCGTTTCCTCTCTCTAAAGCAGTAATTTCAATAAAGACCTACTGTCATGTTCCCACTATGCTATAAATTTATCTCTGATATTTCCACTATGTTATAATTTAATCTCTGATTATATAGTCTTAATATTCAAATCTGTAGTCACCAAAAGTTTGTGAGTAATGGTGCTCAAATTAACATTAACAACGTAAGAAGTTACAGAAAGGGGGAAAAGCTTCATTCCCAGGTGTTAAAAATGTGCCCTACACTATTATCAAAAAGAGAAAATAGATTATGTCATTTCACAAATGCAAAGTAGCAGTGGTCATTTTCGGTTCAAGCCATTATCTCTCCAATACAACCTTAGCCACAAAAATTCAATGGTTTTCACAGGCACCTAGTATTATGAATATTCTGGCAAGTAAATATAACTCAAGCACTGACACAATAAGAACTCTATTAGGGATTTGTATTTGCATATGCCTACAGACATAAAATGTTCAAAAAGTGGAGTGGACTAGAACGGAAACTGCATTATGCTGAAAAATACCAATAATAATATGCTGGCAATTGTGCTTTGATTGTTCACATTTTTTCTAAAGTGTTTTTCTAGCCCATGAACACGTGAGCTTTAAACAAGTTTGATTACAGCTGCAAAAGTATTTAATGAATCAGGAATAATCGTAGTATACAGCAAGAAAGGCTTTAGGTACAGTTTTAGGGCTTATTTTTTGTTGTTGTAGAAAATGAGACACAGGAGAGAACTCAATGCATTTATGGCACTTTTTTTTTTCTGCTTTGTCTTCTTTACTAGAATGTCACTTCCAGATTTATGGTTGCCAACCTGCAATTCTAGTCACTGAGAGCAACAGTTACAATTGCAGACTATAGAATTGAACAAGGGGAAAGACACACATAGGCATCTCCTGCTTTGCATCTGTCACAGTAGTTGCCTTTAATACCAGGGCAGTATTCTTTTGGAAAAGAAGGGAGTCTATTCATATATTTTTTTTCATTTTTGAAACATGAATCAGAATGGAAGACATATTTCCGTCTGCTCTGACTCCAGAAGAACTTGCATTGTTGCCTAGGATGCTAATCCCCGAAAAAAAGTAACAAGTGCAATTGTAGCCCCCACTCCCTTACTCTACACCGTGTATCAGAGGTCCATCATTACGTTCTCATTCATATAGGAAGAGAGTCTAAGACATGTTCATACAGAAAGAGGGTCTACACCTAATATAGACCCTCTACCACATACAAACATTTGCCTTGCAAGGCTGGGGGCCTGCTTCCACCTAATAAATACACGTTAGTGCCTGTGGCTCAAGCAGAGGGGCAAGGCTATGGCACATGAAGAGATGGGAGTGGGGAGGTGAAGAGCTATTGAAAAGGCCATCTTAGGAGGGCTGCAGAGTTGAAACCATGTGAAGACTTTCCTTCAAGAATGGCTCAAGGAGGTCTACACCTGAGGCAGAGCCACTATGTGTCCTTGAGAGATCCAGCTGACAGCACATGGAAAAAGAAGCTCTCTGGATAGAAACTCAGAGCTTCAAAGCCTGCTTGGTGGTGTAGACACTGAGTACATCCTGGAGAGAACATAGAGAAAATCTAGAGGAGAAGAGGTCCCTCCACAAAGCAAGTGATGACAACAGCAAGGGCTTACTGGGCACAAATGCAATGGTGGAAATGTGGAGATGGATGCCCGTTAGCATTTAACCAGAGACCGCAACCTGATGGCCATTAGCCAATCACAGCTTACACGTGTCTTTAATTTGAACAGTATGCTGCACAGTGTTGGCTGGCAATTTTTTTTAGAAAGTAGAACTAGATGCCAATATTCAATATAGAATTTTTACATAATATTTTCAGCTTTATTTTAACAATTATACAAACTTGCATCACAGCAAACCCACATGACAAATCAGCTGGAACTTCCAGTGTTTACCTCTTTAGATAGGCAAAAGTTCTCATTTCCTAAATTCCCACAACTTTCAAGTGTGAATGGTGTTACACACACACACACACACACACACACACACACACACACACACACACATATATGGAAGACATATTTCCTTCTGCTCTGACTCCGGAAGAACTTGCACTGTTGCCTAGGCTGATAATCCCCGAAAAAAAGTAACAAATGCAATTGTACCCCCCACCCCCATATACAGCCCTCATATATATATATGAGAGAGAGAGAGGAAAAGATCATGAGACATGTCTTCTAGGGAAAAAAAATTCTAACTTCCCTAGCCACTGTAGTCATTTGAAACCTGAGTTAGACTATGAGTTAGGAAGTATTTTCATAGAGTTCAATTAATATATTTCTGCTCTATGCATGATGCTAACAGGTTTAAGAAACACAAAAGCCAAACCCAATAGAGAATCCATTTCTTCATTTCAAAAGGGTATGAATATACCCCTTTGGCAATCACAATGGAAACTGAAGAAGTATCATGTTCAAGGACACATAAAGAATTGTTTTTACAACAACCACTTTCCAAAAATAAGCATTGTAAAGCGAGTACAGTGGTTGCCAGTGTTAAATCTATGTTTCTCACTTCTTTCTTGCCTAGTTGCCTGAAGGACTCCTGGCAGAGTAGGCCGCCACAATGCAGGAAGCCATGGACCACTGGCCCAGTGCTTTCTGATCCACTGTGTGCTACAGGGCAAAGAGCTCCACATGGCTCCATGATATTAAAGAGGCATTTATAGAAGCAGATTCACTCTTTAGACCACAGCAGACTCAGCACCTTGCAACTTCAACGGATTAAATGGTTCCAAAGGGAGAATGCTATCCTCTAATTCTTCTACCAAGTAGACACCTGGCAAAACCTGACTCATTTTCTAGACCCACAGACCTACCACATATATAAACCCCTCTCACAAACTCTCTTTCCTCTGTCATCTTCTCCCGGTCCTTAGCCGCCAAATACTCACACTGATAACTTGAATAAATCACCCACTTAGGGATGAAAGCTTCCCTGGGATTGGTTTCAAAGAAAAGTCCTCAATAATGTAAGCTACCAATGGCCTATAATTGCCAAGGAAACTATTAGCCATTTGGAATTTGTTTTCTCATTTGTAACAGTAACATTTTCTTTTCTTCCTGGTCTATAAAGAATAAGCATTCATTCTTTCACTCATCTGTTAAACAAATGTTTATTGGTGCACTGATTACTGTTGTAAGCTCTGAGGTTGACGTAGCGATTCAGCCTAGGCCCCGCCTTTCAAGAATCTTACATCAAGACAAATACATAGATGAGGAAATATGTAATAGCCAGTGGTAAGTGCTTGCTATTACGGTCTGAGTGTTTGTGTCCTTCCAAAATTCATATGTTGAAATTTAATTACCAATGTGCAAGTATTAAAAGGTGGGGCCTTTGGGAGGTGACAAGGCCATGAGGCCAGACCCCTCAAGAATGAGATTAGCGTCCTTTTAAAAGAGGCTTGAGGGAATTTGTTTGCCCCTTTGCCTGTCCACCATGTGAGGACACATGAATCCAAAATTCAGGGAGACTCAAACATTAACTACTCCATGAAGGCACTGGTGGCCAGGTGTAACAGATGGCTCCATGTGCACAGAGGTGACGGAGCAGACACTGCTGTCCCTGGGGCATCCTGCCTCACAGGTGCCTTCATGGGGATAAGGCTAATGCATGGGACAGTATATGGTTTCAGATTTGGTAAACCTGTTTCTTTTCCTGATGATTTCTGATGATTTGCAATTTTTTTTTTTCCTTCAAAAATTCTCTTTCAGTTTCCAAAGTCACACGTACAGGAGAACTCAAAAGGGCCTAAAGATACCTTCCTACACTGGTCGGTGTCCTAGCTATTGGAGGGCAGAGACCCTAAAACTGCTCTTCTTTCTGCCTTTTCAGGGCCAGAGCTTGGGTGGACAATAGATATGATTAACAGAAGACACACTAGCAGCAAATATGCCTTCTCCCCCTAAAATTACTACCAGTATCATAATGTAATTAGTAATATTATCTTTATATTTTCTTTCCATAAAACATAGTCAATCCAACCTAACCATAAGAGCAGCATGCCCACATTAAATATTGTGATTGACTGGAATTTCAGTAAAATGTATCATGTAATAAAAACACTAAGGTTTAATGTAAAAAAGAAATTTAATTTTTCAAATTGTATTTTAACCTCTTTTTTATCCTCTTATTAATTACTTTAAGAAACAAAGATTTTTTGGGTAATACATTAATTTAATAAGGCATAATAAAGACACACCTCTTCTAGGAATAAATTATAGCAGAAAGTAGATCATTCCTATTGTGTAACAAGCCAGTGCTGGATTAATATATTTGTAAACATCTAAATTGAAAACAAAGATTGTGTTAGGAAAATAAGAGCTGGCGGTTGAGTTGAAGAACCTTGAAAATAATTAGATATATAATCATTTCTTACAAGTAAAGACTTTTTCAAAATTAATTTGTTTGATCTAGATCTGTTAACAATAATTGAAAATACCCTATATATTGAAAAATCTAGACATACACCATTTAATTGCATTCATGTATTCAACGAATATATTTTATTTAATTCCTATAATGTAACTAGTGCTGTGCTAGATGCTGATGATACAAAAATAAAGACCCAGACATCTGCTAAGGAAGTCACTTTAGTGTGACCATTTTTGAAAAGATAAAGAAGAGGTGGTGATTCAGTATAATGATGATTTACTTATTTTTAAGTTAAGTATCAGTGAGGTGTTTTAACTAACAATATTTTTCTATAGGCTGAAAATATTTTTGTATACTATGCTGTGCTTTCATAGCCTAATCTGACCCCAATTTATACGCATAAAAAATGATTGATTTTATGATGAGAACACATGGACACATACAGGTGAACAACAGACACTGGGGCCTACCAGATGGTGGAGGATGATGATGGAGAAGATCGGGAGAAATAACTAATGGGTACTAGGCTTAACGTCTGAGGCATGAAATAGTCTGTACCATAAACCCCCATGACATGAGCTTACCTTTATAACAAATCTGCCCGTGTACTCCTGAACTTAAAAGTTAATAAATAATAATAATTGATTTTGTACAGAAACTTGGCAATAGGATCACAGAAGTCTTTAATTGAATTTACTTTTATTCTCTTTGCACTGATTCACAGAGAGGCTAGCTTGAGCTCTTGCAACAAATGCTATATCATTTCTGAGGTGTAGCCTTTTCTTTCTCCTAACGCAACTTGTAACTTGGATGGAACTGTTACTCCCAGGAAATTCCGAGAATCTCCTGACTCAGAACTGGAATGAAGACACAACAATGGAGGGGATATCCCCACATACTCACCTGTTTTATTCATCAGCTCAGGCTGCCATAACAAAATACCACAGATGGGGTGGCTTAAATGCAGAAATTTATTTTTCCAAAGTTGTGGAGGTTGGAAGTCCAAGGTCAAGGTGCCAGCAGGGTTGGTTGCTGGTGAGACCTCCCTCCTCAGCTTGCAGAGGGGACTACTTGCTACTCCTTACACAGCCATTCCTCTATGTGTGCACACGTAGAGAGAGTGTGCGCTGGTGTTTCTTCCTTCTCTCATAAGGACTCCAGTCCTATTGGGTTAGGGTCCCACCCTTATGACCTTATTTAATCTTAATTACATTTTTAAGGTTCTGTTTCCAAATACAGTCACATTGGAAGTTAGGGCTTCAACATATGAATTTTCACGGATACAATTCAGTCCATAATGCAGATCTTTCAGAACAGATGTTATCACTCATGAAATAAGAAATAGATACCGGTTTTCCTTTTTTCCTTCCTTTTTTCCTTCTATTCTCCCAAGTCAAGCATCCATGTATTTTTAAAATAATGCATCCAGCATTTTACATGTAATTACGTAAAGTTTAAGAATGAAATACTGCTTTTAAATATTGATGTTTAAATGTAGTTCGGCATGGTAGCTCAGATTCTCCCAAGTTAAGCATCCATGCATTTTTAAAATAATGCATCCAGCATTTTACACGTAATTACATAAAGTTTAAGAATGAAATACTGCTTTTAAATATTAATGTTTAAATGTAGCTCGGCATGGTAGCTCACTCCTATAATCCCGGCATTTTGGGAGGCCAAGGCAGGAGGACTGCTGGAGGTCAGGAATTTGAGACCAGTCTGGAAAACATAGGAAGACCCCCCTTCTCTCCAAATAAAATTTAAGTTATTCAGGTGTGATGGCATACGCTTGCAGTCCCAGATACTCAGGAGAATGAGGTGTGAGAATGGCTTGAGACCAGGAGTTCGAGGTTGCATTGAGCTATGATTGTATCACACTGCACTCCAGCTTGGGTGACTGAGCAAGACCCTGTCTCAAAAAATAAAATAAAATAAAATAAAATAAAATAAAATAAAATAAAATAAAAAATGTTTAAATGTAGCCCCACAGTAAATGTTAAGGGGTGACACAACTGCACATTTGATTTTTTGCAATTTTCTTCAGTACTCTGTACCTAATTGTTTTAGTAACAAAGAATTTGTGGAATGAATAGTGTCTCATGCAAAGTTACCTAAATATTTAAATTCTAAGCAATTGAACATGAAAGTTAAAGATTAGAGTGACTATATACTAACCGTGTGCTGTAACAATCAAATAATGTACATTCACAATTTTCATAATTATTAGTCTGTGGCATCATGATCAGCCATTAATGATAAACAGTTCTCAATAATTCCTACAATTGGTTCTATAGTGTCATGGCCAAACTAAGTCTTTGGCTTTTCTTCTTTCTTTTTTCTTTTTCTTTTTTTTTTTTTTTTGGTTTTTCTGTATCTCCTTGAGAATCAGTTATATACTCTTCTATCCTATGACCACTGATGTCTCATGCAATAAATGAATATTTGCTTAAAGTTTCTGGAAGAATAAATATTGGTATATTTAATCACCTCTATCTAGTTATCTCTCTCCTTTATCCCTATTTCTCTCTTTTTACCTACCCATCCCCTTCTCCCCTCCTCCCCTTCTGTGCTTTACCCCCAGCTCAGTACACCCTGCAAATTACATGTCCTGGATCAGGCTTCCCCTAAATCACTGATTTCTTCTCTGCTGACAGCTTCCTTCACTGGAAAAGTCTTAACACACTCTCCTTTCTCTGTTCTCTAGTCAGAAAGGTGACCCCCTAGGTACCAAAAGACTCAAAACCTGAGCTGAAGGTCAGCAAAGGGAGAAGGCAGTGTGATACCCAACAATAAACAAGCCAGAGAAAGGATCTGGAGACCCTTCACTCAGCATCTCAAGGTTCTGAGGGACAGAGTAAGAGAATAGGTGGAGGTAGATAAAGTTACTCTTTATGCCTTAAAAATCCTTTGGGTCTCCAAGATGGCTGGCTAGCAGCAGCTGGTATTCATCCCTTCCACAAAGAAAAACCAAAATAGTGAGTAGGTAATCATACTTCAAATACAATCATCTAAGAGAAAACACTGGAATCCTACGCAGAGGTGACACAAAACACCTAACACAAGGAAGGAGAGGAAAGTGAAGCAGCCTCTTCAGTCATGATTGTCTGGGATTTGGGGGGAGCTCCCCAATGTGGGGAAAGGACAAGAGTGAACCCCTATAGTCCACCATCCTACTGTGGACTTCTATATCCTAGCCATGGGAAAGCCCCTAGGCCCTGATGGCCCCAAAACAAATACAGGGATCTGCCTGAAGACCATAGGAAGGCACTGCTCCAGAGAGGGAGCTCACGCTGTATCCCACACACACCCCGAGTCCTAAATAGCTACAGCAAGGCACCGTATTGAAAAAGCCTGGCCCTCACCAGACTACATCCTGCCCAGGACACAAAACAGCCCTTGCATCTCCACATATCTGGAACCCTCTGGCATGCCTTGCCTACAGTAACTGCTGCAGCTGGCTGCTGCCTCCAAGGTTAAAGCGTGAGTCATTGGAGCATGGGCCACTTCCACATAGGACACCTTTGCCAGGCCCAGTTGCCCCAGGCAGCAAAGCTGTTATGCATATTCAAGCACTTTAAGTGCAAACTCCCACACCTGTAGTTGCTGCTGCAGTGGGCTACAACAGTTGGGGCCAAAGCACAAGCAAAGTGCACACTCCCTAGCCACCTGTATACTCCTGCTGCCATTGAAAGCAAACCTGCCCTCCTCAGTAGCAAGAATGTAGTGCAGTCGCTGCTGCTCCTACCTGAGCATTCTGCCTTGGGCTTGGGGATCATCCATCCCTGCCTACCATAACCAGTGCCTGCAAGCACCACCATGGGACCTGACAAAAGGTCTACTAGGCCTGGCTCCAACTCAAAGGTGTCCAAACATGCTGACTGGGGTTCTAGGGGCCACCCAGCCCAGTCTACCAACAGTGGCTCCTGAGTACTCCAACCAGGGGCCTGAAGTTGGGCCCACCCAACCCGCTGCTACTACCACAGTGGGCACACATATGCACAAACCATCTATAGGTCCGAGGACTGGTCCACCCAGCCCATCACAGCCACTAACAACACCACCATGGACCACTTGGGACCCAGAAGTTATTTCTACCATTATTACTGCCATTGCCTTCACTTGCCTACTGCCCAGGGGCCTGAAAACCCACCAAACTGCCTGGCCCACGGCTGAACTACTGAAATCTGAGCGAGCCACCTGGAGGCCCAAAAATCAGCCTGCCTGAATTCACTAATACCAGTGCCAACATACGCCACCCTGGGGCCTAAGGAGAAGCAGACTTGTCCCCCTGCTGCTACTTCTGGAGCCCAAGGACAGGCCCACCTGTGTCCCATCTGCAGCATAACTTCACCACAACCTCCACTAACAACCACACCTTAAGCCACTGAGGAAGTCACAGACAGGACTGGTGCAGATAACAACCAAAGGAATGATAAGAACACTACACTACTGCATGCACCCAGAATCAAAGCCAAAGTGCCCTACCCAACCAATACCATAGACATAACTTCAGCAAAATGTCATCTTCTACAAAAGTAAATTCAGAATATTGAAAGAAGTAATTGTTATCACCTATGGAGATATCAATGTAAGGATACAAGCAACAGGAAAAAGCAGGGAAATATGTTACCTCCAAAGTAATACAGTGACTCTCCAACAACGGTTTCTAATCAAACAGAAATACATGAAATCCTGGAAAAAATTTCAAATAGAAATATTTTAAAAGCTCAGTGAGATATCAGAGAACAATACAAAAAAATAGGAACAATTCAGGATATGAATTAAAAATTTCCCAAAGAGATATCATAAGAAACAACCAAATAGAAATTATGAAACTGAAAAATTCAGTAAATAGAATAAAAATATATTCAAAAGCTTCAACAACAATAGACTAAATCAAGCAGAAGAAATAATTTCAGAACTTGAATACAGGCTTTTGTTGATATAACCCAGGCAGATACAAATTAAAAAGAATGTTTTAAAAAGAATGAACAAAGCCTATGTGACATGTGTGACACCATAAAACAACAATATATTCAAATTTGAGGTTTCACCAAAGGCAAAGAAAAACTGAAAGGGTTAGAAAACCTATTTAATAAAATCGTTGTAAACTTTCCAAATCCAGCAAGAGACTTAGACATATAAGAATCTCAGAGATCCCCAAAAATATACAATGCAACTTTCTCTGTGGCATACTATAGACAAACTGTCAAAAGTCAAAGAAAAAGAGAGATTCCTAATAACAGAAAAAGAAACACATCCAGTCATTTATAAAGAAACCCCAATCAGACTAACAGGGGATTTCTCAGCAGAAATTCTACAGGCCAGGAGAGAATGAGATGATATATTCAAAGTGCTGAAAGAAAAATTTTTTAACAAAGGGGATTAAGCCCTGCAAATGTATACATCATAAATGAGGGAGAAATATAGTCTATCCCAGACAAGCAAAACGTAAGATTATTCATCACCACTAGACTGTACCTACAAGAAATGCTTAACGAAGTCCTACATGAAGAAGCAAAAGAATGATATGTACCATCATGAAAACACAGAAGAAGATAGAAACCAAAGGTAGAGCAAACACACAAACAAAGAAGAAAAAATTTCAAATGTTACCACTATAGAAAACCGCCAGACTGTACAGATAGAAAAATGGGAAGGAAAAAAAGAAAGAAAGAAAAGGAAGGAAAGAAACATAAAATAACCATAAATCAACAATTAATAAAAGTATAGGAATAAAACCTTACATATTAAAAACAATATTAATGAATATTAATAGGTTATACTTAAGAAATATTAATAGGTTATATTTTCCACTTAAAAGATACATATTGGCTGAATAGACTAAAAAAGTGACCCAACTGTAGTATGCTGCCTACAAAAAAAGAAAACTCATCTCACCTGTTAAAAAAAATATAGACTGAATGAAAGTAAACGGATGGAAGAAGATACTGAACAACCAAAATCAAAAGCAAAGAGGAGTAACTATACTTACATTACATAAAACAGACTTTAAGTCAAAAATGGTAAAAAGCGAAAAAGAGGGTCATTATATAGTGATAAAGGGATCAATTCAGCAAGAGGATATAATGATTCTAAATATTATGCACCCACACTGGAGAACCTAGATATATAAAGCAAACATTACTAGACGTAAAAGGAAAGAGAAACTCTAATACAATAATAATTGAAGAAATCAACACTTCACTCTTAGTATTAGATAGATCATTTACATGGAAAATTAACAAAGAAATATTGAATTTAAACTGTACATCAGACCAAGTGAACCTAACAGACATTTACAGAACATTTCACCCAACAGCCACAGAACACACATTTTTCTCATTAGCACATAAGACATTCTCCATGATCAATCATGTTAAGCCACAGAACAATTCTTAACAAATGTTTAAAAAATCAAAATCATAACAAGTATCTTCTCAGAACACAATAAAATAAAACTAGAAATCAATAAGAGGAACATTGGAAATTGTATAAATAGATGGAAGTTAAACAACATGCTCCTAAATGACCACTGGATGAAAAAATTTCTTGACATAAATAAAAACCAAAGCATAACACACAAAAATCTATGAGATACAAGTGCAGTGCTAAAAGGAAAATTTATAACAATAAACACTTACATCAGAAAAGTAGAAAGATTCCAAATAAATAATCTAATATACCCTTCAAGGAACTACAAAAGCCAGAACAATCCAAACCCCAAATTAGTAGAAGCAAAAGAATAATAAAAATCAGAGCAGAACTAAATGAAATTGGACTAAAAAACAACACAAAGGAACAATCAAATGAAAAGCTGGTTTTTTGAAAAGATAAACAAAATTGAAAAACTTGGAGCTAGTCGAACCAAGGAAAAAAGAAGACTCAAACAAAATCAGAAATGAAAAAGGAGCCATTACAACTGATACCATACAAATACAAAAGATCATCGAGACTATTATAAACAACTACACAGTGACAAACTAGAAAACCTAGAGAAAGTGGATAAATTCTTTGACAGAGGAATTTATATTTCAGAAAGAAATAGAAAACCTGAGTAGATCAATAATGAGAAATGAGTAATTAGACTGTCAGTAATAAAAAATAAACTTCCCACAAATAAAAGTCTAAGACCAGATTGCTTCAATGCCAAATTCTACCAAACTTTCAAAGAAGAACTAGCACCAATTCTCAAACTGTTTTAAAAAATTGGAAAGGAGGAAATTCTCTCTAAGTCATTTGAAGAGGCCAGTTTTACTGTGGTATCAAAACGAGAAAAGCACACACACACGCACACACACACAAATTAAAACTACAGGTCAATATCCCTGCTGAACATAGATGCAAAAATTCTCAACAAAATACAAGCAAACCACATCCAACAGCACATTAAAACGATAATACACCATGATCAAGTGGGATTTATCCCAGTGATGCAAGGATGGTTCTACATATGAAAATCAATCAACATGATGCATCACATCAACAGGATGAGGAACAAAACCACAAATATCTCAATAGATGCAAAAAAATTTGATAAAATTCAATATCCCTTCATGATAAAAACTCTCTACAAACTAGGCAATGAAAGAACATACCTCAACTTAGTGAAGACTACATATGACAACCCACAGCTAACATATTGAATGTGGAAAAGCTGAAAGTCTTTCCTCTAACATCTGGAACAAAATAAGCATGCCCACTTTCACCACTCTTATTCAATACAGTACTGAAAGTTCTGGCTGGAGCAATCAAGCAAGAGAAAGAAAGAAAAAGCATCAAAATTGAAGAAGAATAAGTCAATTTGTCCTTCCTTGCAGATGATATAAACTTGTATCTGGAAAAGCCTAAAGATTTCACCAAAAAAATCTTAAACCGATAAATAAGTCAGTAAAGTTGCAGGATACAAAATAAACATATAAAAATCAGTAGCATTTTTATACATCAATAATGAACTAGCTGAGAAAAAATCAAGAAGGCAATCTCATTTACAATAGTTACAAAATGAACCAAATACGTAGGAATAAATTCAACAAAGTGGGTGAAAGACCTCTATAAGGAAAACTATAAGATACTCATGAAAGTTACTGAAGAGGACAGGAACAAATGGAAAGCCATACTATGCTCACGGATCAGAAGGATTAAAATTGTTAAAATGACCATCCTGCCCAAAGCAATCTACAGATTCAATGAAATCTCTATTAAATTACCAATGCCGTTTTTCACAGACATAGAAAAAATACTACTACTATTCATATGAAACCAAAAAGACCCTGCATAGCCAAAGAAATCCTGAGCAAAAAGAACAAAGCTGGAGGCCTCCCACTACTACCTTACTCAAGTCAGGTAGTATGATGCCTGCATCTTTATTCTTTTTGAAAATATATTGCAAAGCTATAGTAACCAAAACAGGATGGTATTTGTATAAAAACAGGCATATAGACCAATGGAACAGAATGGAAAATACAGAAATAAATCAATGTGTTTATAGCCAACTGATTTTTGATAAAGGCATCAAGAACATACATTGTGGAAAGGATACCCTCTTCAATAAATGGTGCTGAGAAAATTGGATATCCACATGCAGAAGAACAAACTGGACTCCTTTCTCTTGCTATATCCGAAAACCAACTCAAGATGAATTAAAGACTTAAATGTGAGACCTAAAACAATACAACTACTAAAATAAAACATAAGGGAAACACTTCAGGACATTGTACTAGGCAAACATTTTATCGCTAAGACCTGAAAAGCACAGGCAACAGAAGCAAAAATAGTCAAAGAGGACTATATTAAACTAAAAAGCTTCTGCACAGCAGAGCAAACAATCAACAGAGAAAGAGAAAATCTGCTCAATGGGAGAAAATATCTGTAAACTACTCTTCCAACAAAAGACTAATATCCAGAATACACAAGGAACTCAACAGCAAAAAAAAAAAAAAAAAAAAAAAAAAAAAAAATCCCATTTAAGATGGGGAAACGATTTGTATAGAGATTTCTCAGATGACAGCCAACAGGTATATGAAAAAATGTTCAACATCACTAATCATCAGGGAAATGCAAATCAAAACCACAATGAGATATCATCTTACTCTAGTTAAAATTATTTTATTAAAAAGACAGCAAAATAAGAGATGCTGGAGAGGATGCTGAGAAATCCACTAATTTCCATTGGTGGAAATGTAAATTAGTACAGCAATTATGGAAAAGAGTATGGAAATTTCTCAAAAAGCTAAAAATAGAACTACCATATGATTCAGCTATCCCACTACTTCATTTTTATCCAATGGAAAAGAAATCAGTTTATCAAATGGATACCTGCACTCCCATGTTTATTGCAGCACTGTTCACAATAGCAAATATATAAAAGCAACCTAAGTGTCCATCAATAGACAAATGGATAAAGAAAATGTGCTACATATACATAATGAAACACTATTCAGCCATAAGAAAAGAATGAAATCATGTTGTCCTTTGCAGAAATATGGACAAAACTGGAAAATATTATGTTAAGTGAAATAAGCCAGGCATAGAAAGACAAATACCATATGTTCTCACTCATATATGGAATCTAAAAAAAGTTGATTTCATGGAGGTAGACAATAAGAGATACCAGAGGCTGAAAAGGGTGTGTAGATGGTGAGAGCTTGTGAGAATTATAGAGAATTTGGTTAATGGGTACACATACACAGTTAGACAGAAGGAATAGGTTTTAATGTTTGATAGCAGAGTAGGGTGACTATAGTTAACAACAATCTATTGTATATTTCAAAAAAGCTGTAACAGAGGACTTGAAATGTTCCCAGCATATAGAAATGATAAATGCTCGAGATGATAGGTACCCAAAATATCATGACTTAATCACTGCACAGTCTATGCATGCAACAAAATATCACCTGTACCCCATAAATAGGTACAAATATTTGTATCAATAAAAAAACTTTAAAACACAAAGCCTTTAAAGCCCATGTCTGTGGTTCTCTGGCTATGGCTTAAAAAAAGTAGGCAGTTCAGACACATGCTTTTAAGGCCCTAACAGGACTTTGGATCAAAGCTTTCTGCAACACAGGATATATTCTGGTGGTATACAGTATAGGGGAGTGAAGGGAAGAAAAAGAAACAACATAGAGGCTTTGAGATGAAAGAATACAAGTTAATTTTACACAAATATAATATTTGAAATGGCATTTTCTCTCTCCTTAACTTCTTTTCACATAGCCTGGCTTTTTGTGGAAAAACAAGGAAACATATGTTCAGGTTAAGCTGTATGAGTTCATAGTCAGATCTAGAAAAAGTCCAAGTATTGTGTAAACTTTGATATCTATTAGTGATAACAAGCTTCCCAGAACACAGACCTGATCTGAAGACAAAGGGCTAGAATAACTGCATTATGCAGCCATTTATCTTTTTTCACATCAATTGTATCACTAATCCCTAAAGGCACTGTGGTTCCCACAGAAGAAAGGTGACCGCCACAGTACGACTCCCATCCTGTTCCTGAATGTAGGAAGCCAAGCTTGGAGAAGTCAGACATACAAGAGCTCAATAAAGACTCCAGCAGGAAAGGTCTTCCTTCCTGGGTATAACAACAATTAGAACCTCCAAGGTTTGTCCTTGAATGATCGTTTCCCAGTAGGGAGGGACTGCCAATCAATGGCTTTGATTGATGCCTCTGCCTGATGTCTGTTCATGGGGTGATGCTCCACTGTCACCACAGGCCCCCATGTGGCAGAGAACTCTCTTTTGGATGCCCAGGGCAGTGGTGCAGCTGTCTTAAACTTTTACAATTTCCAAAATAAAAAGGCAGGGGGAAAGAAGGAAAATCAACCCTAGAAATCTAAACAATTAGGCTTACAGAATTTATAGGTTTTACTCTATCACAGTATTACAATATCAGATCTTGTTCTGTAGAGGTAGCAGCAAATCAGCAGGGTTGCCTCCTCAATTCCAGTTTTCTTTTGTGTAATACAATCAATGATATAATCATCCAACATAATCTGACAGCTGATTTTTTTAAAAAGCAAATCATCTGAAAATGGTGAAAAGACTTCAAATTCCTTAAGGGAAACATGTTGTAAAATTTCCATGGTGATAATTTCATTAACACAGTGAGAATTTTGAAGCTCCATGTAAAATTAGATTTAAAAATCCAAGTATAAATTTCAGTTAAATCACATTTACCTCATCATGCCTACTAGAGCATATTACTTCAAATAAATATATTTAATGGCATTTTATATAGTCAACATTTAAGAAACAAATGTACAAAACAATTTCAGAGAAATTAATGATGTGTGCCACCTAAATTGAAGACGTTCATTCTGAAAATCATTTACTTAAATGTAAGGCTCTTTTTAATTTTAAGATAAATACTTCACTCTGCTCACCAACTGAATTCCTCATTAACCTAGCAGACTAGAGCAGCATTGTTGTGCAGCTGATAACCCTCCCTTTTTATTATGCAAATAAGACTATACAGGTGGTTACAGATTTTCAAATAACTGTTACTAATTATACATTATTCTCCAATGCCATAATAAAAATGGAATGAACTTGATATTGACATAAGGAAAACGTTAAGTTTAAGGAAATGATACAGTGTCAGAAACAGATGTTACCATAAATTACAGTCTAATAATTTAAGGGTGAAATTGTGCTGAAGGCTCAGTCATCCATAGTGGATTTCTTTATGTCTTACCCAACAGGAATCAGGGTTAAACGTTCTAAATATAGTTTAATCTCACTTGAATTATATCTGATTGAAAGTTGCAATTTGACACAATTGACGAATTTCTCAGAAATCCAATTGTTATGTAGAAATGGTACACTTCCAAGGGTAACTCATGGCAACACAAGTCATGAAGTTCTGCTTGCTAAAACACAAAAAGGAGAAGGGAGTAAGTCAGCTTCACACATTAAAGCAGGACATGCCAAGTGACAGTGGTCCTGGTGAAGCTGCCAAGCTGACTTCAGCATTACTGCCAGATTTAAGAAACACCTGCTGGGACCACAGAGTACATGTTCATAGTCACTCAGTCATTGAGGAAGAAGGTGCCAGGCCTAATTTTGAGGAACTTTAGAGGGCAATGCAGCCTGGATCTCACCTTCTTAAAGGCCCTTAGATTTAAATTTTAATGTTGTCTCTATCTGAATTTTACCACACAGTCACAGACACACTGACATGACAAATTGAAAGCAGTGTTCATATTAAAATTCTTAATATACCACATCCTTCATAAGAATATTAGACATTTCTTCATTTTCTAATGCACCAGAGCCTCAACATTGGAAGTAGCTGGACTAATCTTGACCAGTTAGAGGCTTTGGTAAACCCAGAAACAGGAACTTGAAGACATTGATGAAAAAGATGCACCCTGTGCTAGGTTTAAAATACTGTCATAAACACCATTATTAATAAGTAGGGAAGAAAATATTAGAGTTCAATGTGAGTGCCTTATCATCTTCAGCATTAATAATAGCTTCAATTTATGAACTACCTCTATTTTTCCCTGACTTTATAACTTTGTGCAAATATATAAAATATTCCTATATCTGCAAGTTTCCATACATAAAATCTACATATGTCTGTGTGTGCATGTGTGTTGGGGGTGGGTAACGTGATGGTTTCTAAAACACATTCAATACTGCTCTTATCCCTTAGATAAGATATCAATCCCCCACAGGGTAAGGTGAAATGCTATCCATATCGAGAGCTATGACCTTAACCTAAGAAGTTCAGTGAAAGAGTTTTCAAAAGAATGGGAAATAATGCTTGGAAGTTGCTACTGAATAAAAAAAAAGTCCAAGTCATTGCTGCATCCTTTTTCTTGATCCCAAAGTAAACTCTCTAATTAAACAAGAGATATATTTCTAAAGTTTCTCAAGTTTTTTCTCAAGTTTTATATTTTTCCTTATCAAAGTGTTTGTCACCAAGAAGAGATTATGTTTCTTTTTTTAGGCATCAGTAAACACAGGATGTGGAATAAGGCTACAATTATCTGGATGATATTTAGCCCAAGGAGGGCTTGTCAGTAAGGATTTCCAAACACGAGCACATGATTCCATGAAACTTCCTGAACTAGTTGAGGAATGTGGGACCAAAATAGAAGGCTACACATGAGGTGGGGATAGGGTACTAAAAGACAAAGGTGGGGAGTCAAGGGGAAAGCTGGGTTAGGGTTTCCTTTGAGAAAGTGAGACTAGGTCTGAAGTCTGATTAGGGGTTAAAGTGGGAATCTCATAATCTTCATAGTCTAAGCCACAGGATCTGCCATTTGAAGAAGTGATTTTTATCCTAATTCCTACCAGGTTGGGATGGCAGAACTGGAATGAAGGCTGATGACAAGGCTATCTAGTTTTGCTGCTTGCATCAGAAACTAAGAAAGGCACTCCAGAAGTGAAAAACCAGGGGAAGGTATAAGTATTGAAGAAGAACAAAGGACTGACATGTCTTTTTTCCTTCCTTTAGGTCCAGCAATCTTTTAAAGAAACCAGAGTTATTCCCTAGGACTATAGAGAGAACATCAAAGACTCCCTTTGGAATCAATTAATGCCTGCAAATAATATTTATCTAAAATTTCACTCAAGGATATATGATTGGTAAATACTTAAATTCAGTGAGGACCAATAACACAACTCTGTGAACAAAGTGCTTGTGTTTGCTTGGTTTTTAACATTATTACAATATCACTAACCATTTGGCAAATTAAAATGGTATTATTAAACTAAAGTGTTCTGACCCTTATAAAATATCTCCAAATTTGCTCTTCCAGTAGTTCAGCTGAATACCTAGAACAATGGAATACCCAAGGAGGTTGAGTATACATTAAAGTCTATTTTCAATGAAGTGGTGATAACTATTAAGCTCAAGGTGACTTTTCATAGAAAAAGACTAGCAGTACAGTGCAATGACTATGAGTCAGATACTTCATATGTTATCTCCTAAAATCTTTCCAACAACCCATTGACATGGGTACTTATTTCTATTTTAAAAACTGGAAGACTGACTGAGGCTGCTTTTAAGAAGCATAGTCAGGAGCTGAATCCAAGATTGCCTATGCCAAAGCACTGTCCCCTTTCCACAAGGGGACAAAGAATCACCTCCAGGAGAATACTAGGATTCTTAAAGATGATTTTATCATATCTTTGCAATGACAGTTTTCCTAAAGGAGTCAGATAATAACACAAGTCACAAGAAAATGTTTTGAAACAGTAACTTACTATTTAGGGTGAAAACAAGCTGTATATATCTGTCCCAATATTCAAGTATTTGAGGAAAGAATAATAGGCATATTTAATAGGTGATAAGCACCTTAGAAAAATCTGGTTGTATTGTACACACTTACCAATTATAGCTCAGAGATAACCATAGGTTCTTTTATAAGCCCAGTGGCTGTTAACTATTATAATAGTTTATCAACTGTATTCCTTTCCAACTACTCTTGATAGAAACGTGTAATTATTAAAACTATCAACGTAAATGCATTTGAATTAAAACAAACCACACTGTAAATTTTATGGCCATAAGTTTTGTAATGCACATGGGATTGAATAATATGCTATAAACTGACTGCTTTAAGAGAGAAAATATAGCTTATAACACAGCAGCTAAAACCTAATAATCGTTTAGTAAGAGTACTTGACTCAATTATTGTATCAATGAGCACTCCTACAGGATGAACTGAGTTGTGGTTACAATGCAATCTTAAATAAAAAGTGAGTCCTTTAAAACAGATGCCAACTGTTGTGAAGCTATTGATAAGGTTTGTTAATTTAAATCATGGCTCATAGGATTATGTTTAAGAAGCCAGTCTTCCACGATGACAAGTCAAACCTTGAAATCGCCTTCATAGTCATGAAACCCTAGAGCTATTCAAGACCCTGAGATGTCCTTCAGCTTTGGCCAACAAAAATATCAGCAATAAGTACTGCTCGCATTCCACCTGCAGCATAGTCTAAATGAAGGTAAATAAGGCATTCATGCAAGAAATTAACACATGGCAGAAAATAATACTGAGCTCCAGGGTAAAATTTAGTCTTGCGTCAAAAGTAAAAATCAATGAATGTAACTTAAGAATATAAAATCTCCAACAGTACCTCATTAGTGTAATGCAGAACTTTACTCCAGGGACAATTTTTTAAAAAGGGTTTATTTTAATTTTATCATGCTCTTAAACAAATTCTTCAATGTCTACAACTATAAGCAGGAAAACTCTTTAACTCTTTAACTCTTTTATTTAATTATTAAATATCAGTATTACGTATTATTCTATTAGTATTAGTCATTCATTTGATTATTCCTATTCTGCTGACTTAAAATGTAAATGAACATTCTGTTCCAATATGCTCAATTTTCATTCCATTTCATAAATGAAAAAATAATTTCTCATGTGCTCCTCAGTAACAAATTTTAGACTATGAAACCATTGGGACAACTGTTCTTAGGACTCATCAGCAATACGTAAAAAATAAAGTGATCTAATTTTAGACACATAAAATGATGATGTTAGCAAAAGTCAACTAGCTATTTAATAATGCTGCATCTTTAGAGTGCTACATACTAGCTATTTTACAGCTATTTCTGATGCTTTGGGGGTGGATTGCAGAACCACAGAGTATAAAGTCAAGTCAAACTGAAGCTGAAGTCCAAGGATAGAATCTGCAGGGAAGGGATTGGTAAAAAAAAGAGGTGGCACACAGCAACAATTTATGGGTGCATGCCTAAAGTATGACAGGAAAGGGAAGAATTGACGCCATAGATACAAAAGCCAATCATGGGGAATTTCTCATACATCTTTTATCCAGGCTTCTTTCTGAACCCCGAAGCAGAGCAACAGATTCTTGGAAATGCTATTCCTGGAAGCTATGCATGTAACAGCAGGGCAGATGAATTGTTTTGCTTGATGCTGCTGTGCTGATTATAATATTTGTGTTTGAAGTACCTTCTTTATATATTTATATACATAGTCGTGCACCATAAAATGATGTTTAAGTCAACGACTTATATATATGATGGTGATCTCGTAAGATTATAATGGGGCTGAAAAATTTCTATCAACACCATCATAACATAGCGGTGAGAGGCATTACTCATGTGTTTGTGGTAACACTGCGGTATACAAATCTGTGCTGCCATGGGACAAAAATACAACAAATACAATTATGTACAGTATATATAACACTTGATTATGATAATAAATGACTATATGACTGGTTTACCTAATTATTATAATATAATTTATTGTAATTTTAGAGTGTACCCCTTCCACTAATAAAAAAAAAATATTAAGTATAAAACAGCATCAAGCAGTCCTTCAGGAAGAATCCCGGAACGAAATGTTATCAGGGCAGACTTGTTATCAGCTCTACATGTTATTGCCCCTGAAGACCTTCCAGTGGTGTAAGATATAAAGGTGGAGGACAGTGCTATTGGTGGCCTTGACCCTGGAGAGGCCTAGGCTAATGTGTGGGTTTGTGTCTTCGTTTTTAACCAAAAAAGTTTAAAAAGTAAAAAATAAAATAAAAATTTTAAAATAGCAAAACGCTTATAAATTAAGGACATAAAGAAATAAAAAATTCGTAGAGCTGTACAATGTGTATTTTAAGCTAAACTTTATTACAAAAGAATCAAAAGTTTAAAAATGAAAAATTTTATAAAGTAAAAATATTACAGCAAGCTAAGGTTAATTTATTATTGAAGAATGAAAAATTTTTTAAATAAATTTAGTGCAGCCTAAGTGTACAGTGTTTATAAAATCTTAGTGTACAGTAATGTCCTAGGCCTTCGCATTCACTCACCGTGACTCACTCACTCACTCAAAGCAACGTCCAGTCCTACAAGCTCCATTCATGGCAAATGCTCTATACAGATGTACCATTTTAAATCTTTTATATCACATTTTTACCTGTAGCTTTTCTGTGTTTAGATATGTTTGGATACAGGATACATACATACTTATCTTTGTGTTACAAGTGCCTACAATATAGTAACATGCTATACAGGCTTGTAGCCTGGGAGCAAAATGCTATATCATATGCCCTAGATGTGTAGTAGGCTGTACCATCTAGGTTTGTGTAAGTACTCTCTATGATGTTCACACAATGACAAAATCATGTCACAACACATTTCTCAATCCCTGTCATTAAATGATGCATGACTGTGTGTGTGTGTGTGTATCTATATATATACATATACACACATACACATACACATATATATATATACACACACAGGCACACACACACACACACACACAAACCAAACACACACATAAAATACATGTAAGTGTAGGGCATTCAGAGCACAGCTTACGTGATTTTTTTGTGCTTTAAGTGTTTTTGTATGATTCTAGCCAATGGTGGTTAGCCTGGCCAACTAAACTGGAATTTTGTCTCACGAGCAGCAGATTCCTAGCACTCTCAGCCAACAGTGTTCCACATCCTTATCCTGGGTCAAGTAATTTTTTAATGTATGCTTCTCTCACTATTATGTCCCTTTCTGCCACTAATTAAGCACTCTGGGCCCATAAATGACTGACAAATAGAGGCTAGACCTGCTACCAGAAAACACAAAGAAACTGCCTATCACTGGGTTTCAGCATGCCTATGTTAAGAAGGCTCCAGGTTTCTTCTTGCAAATGGTTGAATAAAAATTAAGTAACAATCTTCAAGGAGTTTAGCATTGGTAGAAGAATTCTGTCATTATGGAGAGCACCGCTGGGACAACACACACTTGCAATAACTGGAAAAAAAAAGTGTGGCTGGAAGAATCATGACTTGAAAAACTGGAGATGGAATAGCACAATTGGGAACGAAGAATTCATCTTCATAGGAACTAAGGCAGCATTTTCAAACTGTAGGTTCTGATCTACTTATTAATGGGTCAAAAATCAGTTTTGTCAATCACAACTTTTTTTTTGTTTTCAGTAAGTAATAGTAAAAAATTGAATATGATAGAAAATATCAGAGTGCATTATTCCCAGTAAACTACTGGCCATATGATTTTTTCTTCATTTATAATTTATGTATTGGTGGTCATACATATGTATCTATCCATGAGTCACATTTTACAATGAATGAAAGTCAGCAGCTTAAGCAGAAACTACCATAAGTATTGCTAGTTAGTATCTCTGTTTTGTGGAATGTGCTGCCCAGAGTAAATGGGTTATGAGGATATGTAAATGGGTCCACTGGTGTTACAAATCTCAACTTGAAGAGTGTGCGGGGTAAGGCATTAGTTTACCTGCGCAGACTAACACTTGGTATGTATATTGAACACTGAGCCCCTGTGTGCTAAGTGCCACCCCTGCACTCTCTGCAACTATCTTTATTTTTGGGCTCCAGTTCAGTTTCCTGATTGGCACTCTATGACTTCATTAAAATTAGAGACTTATTCAGAACCCCAAGCCTCTTGGTTGGAGTCTTAACATTGTGTCTAGATCCTTGCAAACTCTTGCTTCCATTTTCTAGATCCTTTTACTTATACTTCTAAAGTCTGACTCGTAATCTGTTCTGAAAATCAACTACAGCTATAATGTCTCCTGACATCCCAGAATCATTGCCTGATTCTTAAAACCTCCCTTTGCCTTATCTTAGTCACCAAAATTTTATTTCCTGAGAGATAGGGCTGGACTTTACCATGCTCTTTGAATATTCTAGGCAAGATTAATGACTGTTGCTTAAGAACTAACCCACCATATGGATGAGTTCTGCATAGCAATGTCCACTGTTCCTTCACAAACATATACTGCTTAATTCCTAATATATTCAACAGAGTCTGGCTAGGTTAAGACAGTTACCAGTCTAACTTTCCATGATTCTATAGATGGACTCTTTCTCCCATATTTTTAGTATCAAGTAGGATTGCAATAGTCAATAAATGCAGGCCATTCTCTGAGTCTGCCATAGGGAAAAAATTATATATAATATATAAAATATATATAATATATAAAAATATATATAATATATAAAAACTATATAAATATATATAATATATAAAAATATATAAATATATAATATATAAAAAATATAATATATAAATATATATAATATATTATATATAAATATATATTATATATTATGTATAATATGCGTGTGTGTGTGTGTGTATATATATATATATATATATATATATATATATATATATATATATATATATATATAACCCTTGCAAATGAGTTCTGGTTTCACGGCAATTGCAAATTGTTCTATCTCTGGCCACTTGACTGAAGAATTGTAAAGACAATCACAGTGAAACATGAAGTGTTCAAATAAACTTCTAAGAAGTCAAAATAACTTTTTAAGTATGTTTTCATGGCATCTGCCCTTCCCTTTTTAAAATCTCTTCCCCTAGTGTTTAAAATGAGCTTATTCAATTCTAAGCCATGAAATCTTATTTAGCAATGCATTAGACTGCAAGTGACAGAAAATTCAGCTAGCAGTAGCTTGAACAAATAGAGTTTTGTTTTTCTCACCAAAGAAGACTGGATGGAGGTAGGTGGCTGCTATCAGCGGTTCAGCAACTCAAACATATCAGGACTGAGATTTCAGGGATTCTTGACCTTTTCGTGTATGTTCAAGGCCCAAGAGGAGCAAGGGAGGAGAAAGGACACTGCTGGCTACAACTGACCCCATTCATAATGAAAACAAACACTCTTCAAGAAACTCTTGGAGCAGCTTGAAGGGAGCACATGGACATCTACAGCTACAAAGAAGGCTGTGAAATTGAGGAAAAGTACTGTCAAGATTAACTGAGCTAGATAACAGTTCATTGCTTGTGCTGCTCACATTGATACCCCAAACAAATTGGGCTCTATTAAGAATGAGGGCAGGGAAAATGGGCATCAAGTCACGAATTAGCAGAGCTTACCACTGCAGGCCGTCCCTAGCTATGTAGTCAATGGCTCAGAGAAATGCAGATATTTACTATTATTTTTCATAAATGGTTGAGTCCTTAATGTGTAATTTATCAGCACATATTTATTGATCCGTAAGTAATGATGAAGCAATTTATAGAAAACGTTGTTCTTCTTTTCACACGCAGTCGTACACTCTCAATGTTTTTATTATATAAACTGGAGCAAATAAGTGTCAATGCATGGGCTCAATCTCAAGTTTTAAAAGAAAGCATTCAAATTTAATTAGAAGAGTAAATGGAAGATGACTGTACTTGGCATAGAGATACCTGGAGTCCATTTCCAATTGTGCTGCTTATGAACAGAGAAGTCCTGAACAAATCAAAATCTTTTCTAGAAATCAAGACACATCCAATGAGTTAAGTTGAATTTAGTGATAAATTTACTCTAACTCAAAGCATGGTTTTAACTTTCCAGAGTAGAAGAGGTGATTCCTGAGGTATGAGGCAGAGACTAGACTTGGGCTTCTTAAGGCTCATATACCTATTATGTTAAAATATCCTTAATAACACACATTTCCAAAAACCTAATAGCAGAACAGCAAATCATTTTGTGGTGGTGGTGGTGGTTTGCTGCTCCTAGATTTTTGGAGCTGGCCGCTATTTTTGAAGTGTGACAGAGTACAGTAGTCACAGACCTGATTGTTTTTTCTCTAGAACTTAACAGGGAATAATTAGGTTTCAGTTTTTACTTATGGCCAGATTTCAGTAATGAATGCCCATTTGTATTGAAGAGGTTTACATTTCACAAAAACTGCTGGATCAGTTCAGACCGAGAGTATTCCCACTAGAATAATAGTATTGAACACCATGTACTGTAATATTAATTCATTTTGTTATCCTGTCTTTTGTTCACTGGATGATAGTTCCATAAATTGCTCATGCAATTTGTGGAGGTAAATCATAAAATTTAGTGGCACACAAATAACAACACTTCAGCATAATCAGCCCTAACATCAAAAGTCTTGTTTAGTTCCTGCCAGTTAACCAAAATATTTCAATGTACATTTTGTCTTCATTTAAAGACTTAATACATTATCTTTATATTATTACTCCTCTTCATTTTGTATCTTCGTTAAATTATAGCATATTATAGATATATAACTTTTGTTTTATGCCTGTCGGCATTTTATTTTAGGGCTGCTTTCTTCCTGTGGCATCTTTTCTTTGACACTGCAGATATTTCCATGTAGAAATTTTTCTTTTCCTTTAGATTCTGTTCTTAAAATGTATTATGCATTTTGTCCCACATCTCAATATATAAAAGCAATAATAGGAGTAATTAATGTTTTGCCATTTTACTTCTAGTTTATGCAGAATAGTCATTTGATTATCAAACCCATCTAGGGTCCGCAATTAGACCGAGTTCCACAGCTGCTCTCTTCTCTTTTCCTATAATGCATGTTCCTTTCTTTGGAGCTGTTGTTTTCCAATGTGTGCGATGCACAATGCTCAGAATGCATCTTCAAAATAAATGTGGTTTCTCTTTCTATCTTCAAGGCCAAAATGAAGAGACACTGTATTGAGCTTTTCAGAATTAAAGTGGCGCTTTTAGTGCCCATATTTTTTTGTAATAGTGGATGCAGTCAGCAACTTTGTCAATTCGGTTGTCACTGTCACACTAGGCTTTCCAGATGTTCAAGTGCAGAAATGTCATGAAACACCACAGCAAGGATGCATTTCTTTTTATTCTTTTATGCTTTTTCTTGTCTATTTTTTTCCCTAAAGAAAGAGTGAACAAAAAAATAGCCATGGCAAGTATGGCTATTCACCAGTCTCCTTAAATGCCTAAGAAAAAAGCACAAAAGAACCTCCAGAATACTTCCAGTGATTATTAATATAAATGTAGCACAGTTTCCATGGTTGGAAAATTAAATTTTAATATTTGAATTAGATGACGATCCTGTATTAACTCTGTTAGAACTTAAAGACCTTTTATCTATATGATTAAATGACATTAGATAACTGATATAAAAAGATTAAATTTATTTTTCTAAAATTAGTATAGTATTGGAACATATTTATCTTTTTAAAGAAATCTTTTTTCTAATAACATTTAATAAGATTTCCATTAGCACTAAGCCTTAATCAAATACACTCTTAAACTTAACACATTCAAAAATTTATAAAATAACATTTGAAGCTGGAAGAGGGCCTTATAAATTATCTAGATATACTGATAGTTTATAAAAAAAAGTGATGATGTTAATTAATGTATTGTAAGAATATCACATGCATGCACATTGGTGTGTTTGGGAGAAACACATTACTTTCTAATTTCACTTTATAAATTAATGGCTTTGACAGTCATGACAGACATTCTAAGCCAAACACTTGGATACCACCTCATAATTTCACACCTCCCCAAGAAAGATATCTTTGTATAAGGTCACACTACATTGCCACTTGTTTTCACCAAAAAACAAGAAAGATTAAGTAAATATATAAATATATTTATTTATTTAATATATTTATTTTTAAATATATGTATTTAATATATTTTTCAATAAATATATATTTAACATATTTATTTCAATATATATATGAAATATCTATATATTCCAAATATATATATAGAAATATATATATAATATATATTTCAATTATATCTGTTCTTTCTGGCTCCAAATTAAGTTTACAGATGTCAGTCTGATAAAGTTACCTTTTTATTCATTGAAGACAGTTTCTTAATTTTGTTTGAAAATTCTGTCTTTTAGGAAAACTACTCAAACTACTCATTTGGAAAGGGAAAAAATGTAGAAAATAGATTTTACAACTTTTCTAGAGACTTGTAACAGCACAGCTAAGGCATCACATTTCAGATGAATTTTACTAATTTTATTTAAATTTCAGAAATTAAATAATTTTAAAAGCACTGTCACGGTGACTGGCCAAAAATACATTTTGAATGTAAATTCCTTCCTGAAAAGTACTGTGGTCCAATCAAATTAGGAAATAGAAGCCAGCTTATTTTTTAGAGTTATTTATTCCTTAAGATTTTCTAGGAACTATCATAACTCTTAGATCCTAGCATGGCCATTTTAAGCCTCAACAGAATACCAAGTACTAAAGAAACCCTGAGTCTAGTGAGGAAGAAAGAACATGCACATAAAAGAATAAGTAATGGCACACTACAGAATAATGTGCATAAAATAAATGGCTAGAACCTAAGTCCTATAAAAACTGAGGAAAAGGAGGATTCACTGTGGGCTGGAGTAGTGGGGGAAGGTTTTAGAGAGGACTTAGGCTTTGATATGTGTTTAAGAGAAATGATAGCATAATTCCCATAAGTAGTAAGGAGAGAATGAGCACTGAGATTGAGGATAATGGCATGAGCATCACAGGGTGGACCAAAACACAAAATATAACCAGAGACATCAAATAATTCTATGGAGTCATAGGCAAGGGCTCAAAGTAGACAGTAATGTGATAAAATTAAGCAAGTAGTTAAGGAATTGATTATAAAGATCTTCTAATGCTAGCCTAAGAGATTACAGACTTTTATATCAGCTCATAAAATCACTTGTGAAGTTGTTGCAGTAGTTGTTGTTGATTTCAGATACATATGTCTAGACCCCTCCCTGGAGACTGTGATTAACAGAGGCTGAGGCTGGAGACTATTTTTTAAAGGATCCATACAAACAGTAGTGGCTTCATGGGCATTCAGACTGTGCCATCTCCCAAAGCCCCATGTTTGGCTTAATACTCTCCTGTAGCTGTCATGAAATTCTTAATAATTTTATCAGTAATTTTGTCTGCTGCCATTCCTTCTTACTCCATTCACATGTAGAGTACAAAATGACCCGTGAGCACTGAATTCCAGGGAGCTCAAAATAAGTGGGAGTTCAGCAAGACTCAAAGTGAGTACAAGGTAAGGGCTACGCCTATGACTGGGTAAATGGGGGTGCTGACAGCCCCCAAAAGGCCAAGCTTTCTGCTTGAACCAGAATTGCTTTGAGGGTAGAAAGGAAGCAATGGCATTCTAGGTGATAGAAATGACCAAAGAACCTTGTCATATCCTTTCTTGCTCACGCTACTTTTCTGTATTAGCCAACTGAAAATAACAGAGAAGGAAAGAGAAAGACAAAGGAACCCGTAGTTTCTTTGCTTTTCAGTCTTCTTTATTCATCTGTAAGATAAGTTAAACTGTTGGTAAATGAGACCAAAGCAAAAAGTTAAATCAGTTGAGATAGTTTTGTGCCACATTTCCACTGTTCTGACAAGAGAGAAATATATATGTACATATAAGCTACAAACTATATACTGTGTAACATTACTGTTTATGCAAATAAGTTAAATGGTCTTATTTGCATTTAGAATGGTCACTGCAAAATATAGAGATGAACAGTAAAATATATGTTAACAATTTAAAATTTAAATTTTTCTTAATGCAACATTAAATACAAATTTGAAATAAAACATCATGACAAGTTGAGTGAAAGGCCATGGAAAATCAGGAAAGTTTAAATTTTCTAGTTCCTTTAATGATACTTTTTTCTGCTTTTGAACAAGGGGTCCCATATTTTCATTCTTCACTGGGCCCTGCAAATTATGCAGCTGGCCCTGACAGATAATTGCGATGATCAGGGCTAAGAATTGCTGATGTTGGTAACAGACAGACAGTAAAGTATTTTGAGGAGATAGGTATGTCGTGGGGTTTAATTCATAGAGGCCTGATGGAAGTAAGTAAAATAAATGTAGGGAGATCTGTTGGAAATGTTCATAGCAGACTGGTGAGGAATGAAGACCTTCACCAGAGTGGTGCAAAGGGAAGACAGGAGAAAGAAAATAATCAGAGGAAAAGAAAATCTAATGAAAGCACTGGTGATGCAAAATGAAAGGAAAATGAAAGGGAGAAATTAAAAAAAAAAAAAAGTCCCCAAACGTTAAAACCTCGATGACTGGCTAACAATGCTATCAAGAAAGAAAGGCTGGGCGCGGTGGCTCACGCCTGTAATCCCAGCACTTTGGGAGGCCGAGGCGGGCAGATCACAAGGTCAGGAGATCGGGACCATCCTGGCTAACACGGTGAAACCCCGTCTCTACTAAAAAATAGAAAAAATTAGCCGGGCAGGTTGGCGGACACCTGTAGTCCCAGCTACTCAGGAGGCTGAGGCAGGAGAATGGCGTGAACCCGGGAGGCGGAGCTTGCAGTGAGCCAAGATTGCACCACTGCACTCCAGCCTGGGCAAAAGAACAAGACTCTTTCTCAAAAAAAAAAAAAAAAAAAAAAAAAAAAGAAAGACAGAAAAGGCCAAACTTCTCTACTCCACACATGTTGATTTGTAAATGGAACAGAGTCATTGAAGAGTAATTCTTCATTGACCTACTGGATGCTGCAGGAGAAGTGAATGGAAATCTGGCTGTCATTATGGACATTGAGGGTCTCACTGGAATTAAATAAAATCTCTGAAGGAAAGAGAAGAGAGAGAAGGCAAGTCACAAATGCCTAAGTCTTAATCACTTACCAAAGCTTAGGAAGCCGGGGGAAAAGAGCAGCCAGTACTTGTGATGGAGATGGAGCAGCCAAACTTATGCAGAGAGCTATGACAGCAACCCTCAGGGAGGGTAAGCTGGAAGATAACGCATTTAAGAAACGAGTAGAATACTGTTGTATGCCACAAAGCAGAGAGTGAAAAATGATAAAAGTGTTTTGAATTTTTAAGTATATATTCTTGAGTGACCTTGGAGGAAGCAATTTCAGGAGAGTAGCTTTTCAGATATTGTCAAACTAGAGAGTTTCAAGATTGAGTGGGTGATGATAAAATGAAGGCTGCAAGGGTACTGCTCATTTTTAAGATGTGCATTGGTTGGGCAGAGTGAAGTAATATAGAAGAGAGGTGAGTAGGGTTAGTAGATCAAATGAAATTTATTCAAGATAAATGAAAAAACATTTAAAATGAGTATTTATGTTTTTATTGTTCTCTTACTTTTTAGATTATTTTCATAGACTACCTAAAATCCTTTGACTATTCAAAGGACAGATAAATGAATGGAAGAAAGGATGAAAGAAAAAAAATGATGAAGCATGAAGAAATGTATAGTCTCTTATTTATCCAATATTACTCATCTGCTATGTGCATGGTACAATGAGAGAAAATAAGGATAAAAAATACATGTGCTGCCCTCAGTGAGTTTAGAGTAGGGGATATACTTACAGTTCCACTGTTAACTATCAAGCAGAATCCAGCAAATATCATAATAAAATGAAGAAATAAATAAGCCAAATCTTTATTTTTATTTCTTAACTTTCAAGAGTACCACATACATTTTTCAGTGGAGAGTAAGAAATGGAAGAATCTGGAAAGGTTACTCAGGGACAGTGTCAGAAAGGGTAAAAAAAGGGACCAAGAATTAAATACTGATACCGCTTCCTCAAAGACCAGCAGGAGAGAGAAAAGAACACAGGAAACTATAGAGCTATGTAAATGAGAAGAAGAGACAATATTGAACTGTTTCAGATGAGGGAACTCAGGCCAGAAAGCTTTGATGGTCTCGGTGAGTTAAGAGGTAACCTCACCTACTGAGAAAGAAGGTAAGAACATCTATGAGAGCCTCTACAAAGAAAAGATCAATAGGACTTCTGACTGACTCCATGTATTTGCACTGCCTGAACACCTGCCCCGCCTTCATCGCAGGCAAAACACAGTTAGTTATTTTTAAGAGCTCATTTTCCTCCTGAAATCACCTGAGATTATGACTGTCCAGAATAATCATCCTTCTTTCTGAATTTCTATTAATCGTATAACTTGTTCCACATTCCCCATATTATTGTACACTCTTCTACTTAGTTCTGTAGTTGTTTTTCATTTAGTCCTACCTGTGCCTGACTAGAGACTCCTCAAGGACAAGGAGGGACATCTTACACTTACTCTGTATCTTTCTAAATGTCTGCAAAGTAGTCTTTCAACAAACATTTCCCTATTGACTGAAGAGGAGGAAGAAGTATTACAAAAACATATCAGGGGAAGATTCCTCTCTCCTCTACTATTCTAGGGGATTTGTTATACTATTAAATTGTGTATCTAATATATAACTTGTACAAAACAAGGTACCATAGCAGTAATGTTTGTAGAATTCAAAATACATACTTCATATTTAAAGGTGATTTTTCATCTCACTAGTTGTCAGGAATTTCCAAAACATTTTCCTTTAACTTATATTCTAGATTACAGGAGCAGAGTCAGGACTAATAACTCCATATGCAGTATAATCAAGAAAGGCAAGATTATCATATGTTCTATCACCAATGCTACTGTTAGTTCTATAAAGACAAAGCAAAGTTGGACAAAAGTAGATTAAATAATTATGTAATCTGAAAAATTCCAACTAAATCCTACTCTGGCTATATCTACACCATAAAATGTACAAACAACTCTAGCTGAAAATGGATTTTTTAAAAAGCCCAATAATTGAAGCTTTGCCCTTAATTATCAGTAAAACAATATCAATTTGCATTTTATTTAAAAGTATAAGCTGGTACTTGGGAATGATTTAAGTGCTGACTGTCATCATTACAGGACTTTCATTTTTATTTTGAAGAGTTGTACATTGGTTTTGTTGTACATTGTACAACACCAACATTGTACAAGACCAAGAGTTGTACATTGGTCTTGGTTTTAAATGTTTCATGGACTGAAATTATTGAGGCTGCTGATTTCTATTTATGGTAAATTCTCACTATAGGTTGAGTATCCATTCTCTGAAAATTTGAAATCCAAAATGCTCCAAAATCTGAATTTTTTGAGTGCCCACATGATGTTCAAAGGAAATGCTCATTGGAACATTTTGGATTTCGAATTTTTGGATTAGGGATGCTCAGCTGGGTAATATAATGCAAACATTCCCCTAAAAAAATCTGAAATCTGAAATACTTCTGGTCCCCAGCATTTCAGATAAGGGATACTGAAATGTAAAACCCCAAAGATTGAGAACTACAACATGATGTTTGCTCTACGTATTATGGTGAGTGATGCACCTTTTCACTATGCCAACTGGAAAAACTACAGTATATTCAAAGTAATAGTAATGTAAATACTTCATAATAGATTTATCATTTAGGCTGCCTGTTATCGGTGTCTCAGAACATTGACTTGGTTTAAGCATGAACATGCAAAAAGTTAGATTTTCTTTTCTTTTAATTTGCCCTGAGCTACTGTGTAAGGCAGTCTCAAAAAAAGATATGAAACAGAGTCATTTCATCTCTTTCTGATTTCTGCATAGAATGCCAGATCTGGAATAAACTTTGGAAATCACAGACAAATCTTCTTTCTCCTCTGTGAGAAGAGGTAGGAAGAGAGACTCAGGGAGGTTGAGTATTTATCCCAGGACACCCATCCAAAAAGCCATGGCAACAATTTATAACTGACCTGTTCTAGATCCTTTTTCACTGAGCATATCAATCATGCAGTTACTAATTTATTAACATTATTTGCTGAAGTATAAAACACAAAATTCAATTATTTATCACAATATATACATGCAACTAATAAATCAATAAATGAAACACAGTCAGTACATCAGAACCTCATCTTCATTATCCTTCCTGGTTACTACCCTTTCCTTCATCTCCCAAGGAAACCACAATCCTAATTTCTAACATAGGATGGAACATAACCCAGGTAGGAACATGTAGTGTGGAGTTTTTTAATGTTTCTGCTCTTTTTGGTGGAGGACATATTTATCCAAGTTATTTCATTAAGCTATAGTTTGTTCATTTCTATAACTGTACAGAATTCTATTGCATTAATACACCACAATCTATCCATTATAATATTGATAGAAATTTGTGCTTCATTCCTCATTCTTCAGCTGCTATAAACAATGTTGCCATGGACGTTTTCATCCATGACTCTGGGCACACATGCTGATGCATTTATGTCTGATATATGACTAGAAATGAAATTACTGATTCATACAGTAGACTATGTAAACACTGCCAGATTGTTTTTACAAAGTGGTTAAACAATTCACTCTTCTACTAGAAATATTTAAGAGAATATTCTTAGATCTTTAAAGAGGCATGTATTGCATACCTACTATATTCCAGAAACCATGTTAACTTCTGAGGCTGAAAATAGGCTAAGAAATAGAATTTTCTCTGGAGGACTTTTTGTCCAAATAGAGGTGAGAAATAAATAACCAAATAAATGTAAAAGACGCAATCCAGTGTCTACATCATTATCTATACAACATAAAGGATCGTCACACTTTATTTCATTTTTTAAAATTTTCAACTTTTATTTTAGATTCAGGGGGTATATGTGCAGGCTTACCAAATGGGTATATTGTATGATGCTGAGGTTTAGGGTACAATTGATTCCATCACCCAGGCAGTGAGCATAGTACCCAATAGATAGTTTTTCAGTCCTTGCACTCACCTCACATTGTTTCCTCTAGTAGTTCCCCGTGTCTGCTGTTCTCATCTTTATGTCCATGAGTACTCAATGTTTAGCTCCCACTGGTAAGTGAGAACATGCAGTATTTGGTTTTTTGTTTCTGCATTAGTAATGGCTTAGGATAATGGCTTTCAGCTGCATTTATGTTTCCACTACAGGACATTATTCTGTGCTTTTTTGTGGCTGCATAGTATGCCATGGTATATATGTACCACTAGTTTCCCCCGAAACTCATTATCTCTTTTTCCTTTTAGTTATGAAACCAACCAAGCTTGAACTGGGCTCATGGTTCTTTATTAATAATCAATGAGTACACTTCCCAGCCACCACTGTAGGTAGATCTGACCAGGACATCAAGTTCTGAACAATGGAATCTGGACAGAAGTTACATCTGCAAGTTACAGGTCATAGAACCTTAATATGAATAGTTGGACCCTCCTCCTTCTCCTCCCCTCTTACTAACTGAAAAGGGAATGTAGCATTGAAGACACATGTTTGCCATGTGAACAATGGCAATATATCCAAGAATAGCAGAACTACAAGACTGAAGAAGCATCTTGTAGAATACAATTGCTCTATCCCCCTGTATAGGACTGTTTGGGACGGTCACTAGAGAAATAAGCACCTTTCTTGTTTAAGCCACTTTCTCTTTTGGTCTGTTAAAACAACTTAAGTTATATCCTAACATATGGAAGCTAGAATTGGAGGCATCGGACATATTCCAGCAATCCAGGGACCAGCTTATAGTTTTAATTCCCCTACGATGGCAGTAGAGGTTATCTCTAATGCCAGAATATAAGATAAGCAGTATATCTACAGAAAGATATTTGCTATTCTTGGAGAAGGTTTCATTGACTAACATGAGGCTTTTTGGTTATCACCATTCTGCCAAGATATGGAATTCCTAGGAACAAAACAGAATGTTTATATGAAAAATTAAGAAATATTAATTAGAAGCATGAGACTACAAAAAACTTAGTGGCTTAAAGAAAAAGATTCTACTTTGCTTCCATAAAATCATACCAAGGTAAAGATTAAATACTGATGGGGACAGCTCCATCCCATTTAGTTACTAAGGGATTTAAATTGCTCCCACTGTCATCTTCTCCATGGCCACATGGTTGCCTTGGATTCCAGTCAGTAGGAAGCAAATGCGGGAAAATATACCTGATGTCTCAGCTTATAACCCCAGAGGTGTAACACAGCACTTTCTCTCATTTCATTATCAGCAAGTTAATTATATTGCCATATCTTAACTGTAAAGAATCCCTAGCCTTGCCTTGTTCCTAGGAAGAAGAATAAAGTAGATTTTGGTAGACTTAGCAGCAGCTTCTTCCAAATTAAGATAAATGAGGAGTCCAAGAAAGGGGAAAAATGAATATCAAAAATTAATTTGGGTCAGGTTATGAAGGACTTTAAACACTAAGTGACCATACAAACTGTTTAAGCAGTAAGGTTACAACTAATCTGGTTGCATGTCCAAAGGTTGACTAGAGATGAACCAGTGGTAAGGAGAGCTCTTAGCAGACTACTCATTTAGATAAGGAAAATATTAACACAGTCTGAAAAAACCAATGACTATTAAAATCAAGATGAGGGGGAGCAAAACTTATGCAATATCTCTAGAGAGAATGAAAAGAGTGTTGCGAGGCAGGTGGGGAGAAGAAAAGTAGCGCTGCAGCAGGAATCTGGAAAACACTGCAGCGGGCATCTGGGGAACACTGCAGCGGGCATCTGGGGAACACTGCAGTAGGAATCTGGGGAACACTGCAGCAGCAATCTGGGGAACGGAGCAGTGGGCATCTGGGGAACACTGCAGCGGGAATCTGGGGAACACTGCCACAGGAATCTGCAGAAGTGAAGACTTAGGTTTAAGACAGGGTACTTAAAGGTAAATGTGGATTATTCAAGTAGTAGTGTCCAGAAGACAGCTGTAAATATTTTCCTGATATCCACAAAGACTTGGAGCTGGTGATTCATAGAGCTGTGGTTACAATCATTAGCATACCTGAGAAGAACAGAGCAAAAAGCAGAGAGAATGAAGGATTATTCACTGTTTGTGACCCCCTCCTCCCAAATTCATATGTTGAAATCTCATCAACAATGTAATGATATTAGGCTGTTGGCTTCTGAGAGATGAGTAGGCCATGAGGTTATAGCCCTTATGGATTGGATTAGTGCCTTTAGACAAGAGACCACAAAGAGCTAGCTAGTCCCTTCCACCATGTGAGGACACAGTGAGAAGGCACCATCTATGAACCAGAAAGTAAGCCCTCAACAGACACCGAATCTGTCAGCACCTTGATCCTGGACTTCTCATCCACCAGAATTATATTAAATTCATTTATGTTGTTTATATAAGCTATCTAGTTTATGGTACTTTGTTATAGCAACCTGAACAAATTAAGACAAATAAATAATATGTGAAATGCCAGGTCTTGGAAGAAGAGCAAAAAGAAAAATCAGTGAGGAAAACTAAGGGATCAGTTGGAGACTTTCAAAGACAATGTAGAAATGTTATGAGCAGAATGAAGTTCACCAAAAAGTCCCCTGCACCCTCAATAATGTAGTCAGAGTAACGATTTCAGAACTATTTCACATGCAGACCTAACCAAAGCAACATACACTAGTTTGTGTTTCATCATGAAATGACTGTTTTTTTAAATTACAGAGGACAACTTGTAGTGTAATGTATAACAAAACAGGGAAGTGGTGTGGCTTATACATGAATGATTCACACAGCTATGAAACAAAAGCCAAACCCCCTTCACAAATCAGTCAGAGTCTATTCATAAGCAGGTTTTAACAGATACCCAGGAGGCAAGTGCAAATTGAAAACAGTTCTAGTCAAATCCACTTTGTTTTATAGCCCTTGGACATTTCAAAAATACTGCTAGTGTTTCCAGATCCAGTGCCTTTTTATTTGGAGCTTAATCCTGAGGTCCTTTCCTTGAATAGAAATTATTTATACACAATGTTTTATATTCAAACTTAGCATTGGGTATAAAAAACACAAGCTATTTTACTTCTTTTTACTGCAGGTCATATTTTTCACTCATTTAACAAATATACACTATACTTATGAAGAAAATGTGTACTTCATATAAGCACATTCATTGTAGTACCTATAATAGAAACCATGGCCACTTGGACAAGTAATTCAAGCAACAAAAAAAATTCCATTCTGGATGAAAAGTAGCTGAAATATTGTATTCTGGTACATAAACACGTTTTTGGTTTTAGTTATATTTTTTCAATTATAAAATACACAAAATAATATAATCATGATATTTTATTCAAACATGTAACCAAACATAAGCATGTGTGTGCCTATATTTTATATGTATATATAATATTACAAATACTTATAAGGATCTCACACATTATCTCCTAGTTTCATTCTTGACATCTGAAGGGAAAGCAAAACTATTTCCTCCATTTTGTGAATTTACACAGGAAATAATTCCTGTAAAATAATAATGATATCATGAAATTATATTATAGTTAAAATTTAGGGCTAGGAAGAATTTTTAGATATCATTGAGTCCAGTCCACTCGTTACATAGATGAAGAAATGGAGCCACAGAAAGCTGAACTGAACGATCCAGGTCTTTTTAGTCCCATCCCTGTTCTCTTTCTACTGTAATTCTAAACTTCTATTATAGTAAAAAATAAGTCCATGGGCCATAAATTCTGCAGAAGAATACAAATTCCACAGAATAGCTTATAAACATATAATTCTGTATAGATTATAAAGCTATGATCTCTACCATAAAATTCATGAGGTGTGATAATAGAAAGATTCTTTCTTTGTTACAGATGAGGAAACTGAGGTTTAGAATAGCTAAATGATTTAAAGTCACACAAATCGTGAATTCCAAATTGTTTCTAACATTCTATACATATATATGTGAGATTTGAAATTAAAATGGCTGCTTATACCAGCGAACTGTGGAACTGAAATCAGGGCAGAGACCAAAGACTCACCGGCATTACTGCCACCCAGATGGAATTTTACTAGGTGAGTTGTGCTTACTTTCAGACTGTCCTCAGAAGTGATATCACCTACCCAATAGGCTAAATAATTGCCAAATGCATTTCTTCAATTCAACTGAAAAGAATAGAAAATTCTTTGACAATAAAATTTTAAATTTCTAAAACTATAGTTAATATTAGGTACTTCTATATTTAAACCATTAAAATATTATTCATATTTTTAAAGATTCCTAATATTGAAATTCAACATGTTACCTGCTTTGCCAAAATCCTTTTTTTAATTTTTTTAATTTTTTTTATTTTTATTATTATTATACTTTAAGTTTTAGGGTACATGTGCACATTGTGCAGGTTAGTTACATACATATACATGTGCCATGCTGGTGTGCTGCACCCACTAACTCGTCATCTAGCATTAGGTATATCTCCCAATGCTATCCCTCCCCCCTCCCCCCACCCCACAACAGTCCCCAGAATGTGATGTTCCCCTTCCTGTGTCCATGTGATCTCATTGTTCAATTCCCACCTATGAGTGAGAATATGCGGTGTTTGGTTTTTTGTTCTTGCGATAGTTTACTGAGAATAATGGTTTCCAATTTCATCCATGTCCCTACAAAGGACATGAACTCATCATTTTTTATGGCTGCATAGTATTCCATGGTGTATATGTGCCACACTTTCTTAATCCAGTCTATCATTGTTGGACATTTGGGTTGGTTCCAAGTCTTTGCTATTGTGAATAGTGCCAAAATTCTTTCAAATTATGGTCAGATGTATAAGGATATGTCTTTCCACCATGAATGGACATTACAAATCCCATGCCTCTGCGAAATGCAACAAAGGCTTTCTTTACAAACTCTAATATAATCAATCCCCCACTCCTGCCAAAAAAAAAAAGCTTATAGTGAAAAGTTACAGATGTCAACTTTAATACAAACTAAACAAACCATCAAACCATTCATAGAATATTTTGTCAGAATTATCTGCTTTAATTTCATTCACAAGCAAAATAAGTGAGTGAAGTCAATAAGTTGTTTCCTCAAAGTAATATGGTAGCTGGCATTACCATGGCTATTTACATGTTTTAGGTGTTTGTGGGTTTTTTTTGTCTTTTTTTTGTTTTTTTTGGTAATCCCTTGAAAAACTCTATGAAGTAGTTACTATTACAGGCCCCAGTAACAGAAGAAGAAAATGAAATGCAAGGAAGTTAAACAACTTGCCTGAGCTTACTCCACAGCAGTCTGACTCTAGAGCCCACAAATGTAACTACAAAGCTGTAACTCCTCTCAAGTTATATACTAGCTACAAAAATAATTACATGTATTTCATCTGAAATTCACAGTAACCTGCGTGAGTTCTAATGACAGCACAGTAACTTTCCCCATGTTAAAAATTAAAAAGTAAATTATGTTTTATCTTTCAATAAAGTAAGAAGAGGCCAATTCATTAAAATATTAGCTTTCTAATTACCTCCTACCTCTTATATCCAATACATATACAAGGAAACAACTGAGAAATATAACTGAGCAAACAATGGAGACACCAAGATTCCTTTGTAAGTACAATCCATGCACATTGAGAAAATTGAGTCCCATCGACCCTCAGCCAGACACTATATTTTATAACTGTTGCACATAATTCTAAAATTTGGGTTGCCCTTTCCCCACCCCAAAACTGACCAAAATCTATATACAGGGAAATGCTAGAATTAGGCAAGCAACAAAAAGAAGACTGAAAAAGTTATAAGAAACTTACAATATTCATCTAAAAGTTTACTGTCCATGTGATTTTCACATCAGGACAGATTTCTATAAGAATAAATAGGCACCAAGAAGTTATTACAACCCAACAGAATTTTCATATGTAAAACATTTCATTCCCCAATAGTTCACAGCACATACAGATGAAACTTAATCCAGGTGAGGATTTATTTTCAATACAAGCTCTCCAATTCTCATTTCCATAGATATTTCCTTCTTAGAGGCTACATAGCATTAATTTAAAAATAAAATAATGCTCAATAGCTGAGAAGTTTAGAAACTTGCTTAACTATTTAAATAAGTTGCCTATCAACCAAAAATACTGGTTTTTTGAATAACGACTCTTCTGAGAAATGGAAGAACATTTGGCTGCTGGACAAGTGTTCTGATTTTTAGAAAAGGAAACATTTAGACATGTGTCTCTCTAATGAAGAATGTAAGGTCAGAAATCCTGAGCTAAATTAATGGGCACAGCATCGTAGTCATACACCTTGAAATAAAAATGCTGAACAATTTATCACTCTCTAAAGTTCATCAACATTAGGCATTTTTTTTTTTTTGGAGACAGAGTCTCACTCTGTTGCCCGGGCTGGAGTGCAGTGGTGCAATCTCAGCTCACTGCAAGCTCCGCCTCCTTGGTTCATGCCATTCTCCTGCCTCAGCCTCCTGAGTAGCGGCAAATTTTTAAAACACAAAATAATAGAATGGTGGTCACAAAGTGCTAACACCAGTTTTTGAGTTTCTCATAAGTGATGTACACTATATGTTCTCCTGAAGCCATATCATAATTAATGAAATAAGAAATGCTTTTCCTTTAATTAAATATCTCCAATGGTCATCTTCTTTCCATTTGACAGTTGAATGCAAGTAGAAGAGAGAGACCAGAACAGTGAAAAACACAGAATTACGCCCTCTGAGTAATGAACGCTAAAACAACTTCAGGACTACAGGACTTCCAATATTTGAAGGAATTTCATATGGAAGAAGAAAGAGTTAGATACATTGAACATCTGGCACAATGCCTAATACGTTATAGGTACTCGTTAAATATTTACTCTATGACTGAGGGAATGAATAAATTAATGCACAAATCATTTGCTGATTATTTCCAGAGCCAGAAAATTATTCCAGAATCACAGAATTTAGTTTAAGCTATAGTAAGGCAGAGTTTTGCTTTAACATATAGTTTATAAATTATAATTGTTCGACAACGGAAAAAGCCTGTCTCTAAAGGCAGAATTTCACTTGGATATCTGAGAAGGGACTGCCTTTCAGATGGGCAAACAAACTGGCTGACTTTTAAAAGTTCCTGTGTTGCTGTGATTTCCTCTTTAAGATTCACTATTGCGTTCTCTCATTTCTCCATTTAGGACAGTAATTTGTGAATTTTCCCTCTGCCTTGATATTCCACTCTTATTTCCATTGTCCACTGTGAGAAAATACTATTACAACAGAATAATTCATCAGGGCTTATTCATTTAATTTTGCCACTCCACCCCACAGTCATATCCCAATTCCTGGTGAACAGGAGTGGAAAAGAACCAAAGTGCTCTTAGATTACAAACAACATCCTTATGTGTGTGCGGGCATGTGTCTGTATGCACGTATTCTTGTCTGACATCTTTTGCAATGATACTAGCACACTTTTTGACTTATGAAGATAATTCTTTGAGTAATGATGCAGATATGATTCATTTCTTGTTTTTGTCCATTACAATCATCTTGATAGATGCAGAGGGCCAATGAAGTCAAAATTTTTGGTCCTATCTGAAGTTGTCACAATTGAACAGATGTAGCCAAAATGTGAATGTAGGTATTATATGGAGACTTGAAGAAGCTAAATTATTCTCCTAATCTTGGCTGTGATATAGTGGACAAAACAATGATGGTGTGGACTGGGTGGCTGGGGTGAAACTGAGAATTAAGAAACCTTAGTTTCAGACCTGACATTTATCATTCTATACTAGATTTCTCACATGGAAAATATGGAAGGGTGGGAGCTATTTAACCTCTCCGCATCCTAGGTTTTTGTGCTTCTGAAAATGAAATAGTAATGAAAATATTTTGTTCATATTGCCACATACAAATAGCAAGTAGCACTAAATCTAAGTATGAGTTTAAAATCCAGGCATAAAGGAGTGTGCACCAAAAATCAGCCCAATTTAAAATCTGTCAGTGCTATAAAGTACCAATTAGAAACCAGGACTCCATTACCAGCATTCTAGAAATAAAGTGCTTATTTTGCCAGCGTTGTTACTGCCACTGATTTCATGTACTTCTTTTAAAACCACTTTGCAAGAACAAACTTATACTCCAGAAATGTATAAAATCTGCATCGCATGGAACAGTACTTACATAAATTTTATTTCATATTGATTTTGTCTTTCCATCATATTCATTGCAAAGCCAAGTCATGAAAAAAAATCAATAACTGAACACTAAGGAGGCACTTTTCATACAAAGGGCCTTCTACTCTTTTGCATATCTGTTTCTTTTACTCTATTTTCTACATTCTTTAATGCTGCAAGTTGAAAAATGCATAACTGAATAAATTAAAGTTAACATTATCCTGCCTTTTGAAAGAGCAAAAACATATTAAGTCCAAGCAGAATCTTTCTTTTTCTTTTTCCTCATGGTAGCCAGGCTCTTTATCAATATCATGGCTTCAGAACATATTATCCCATGGCTGCCATTGAAATGAATGGTACAGCATCCTGTTATGAAAGGCCATTTGATGATTTGGTAGGTGAGAGATTATTAAATCTTGAATTTCAAATGCTGGGGCATTATAAAACTACACACTTCAAATAACCATGGAATCCACTCAAACTATATCTCCTTTAAGGAGATAACACACCATGTAGGTTTCAATGTTCAAGGGTTTTCAGAGGCTTTGAAAACTGAACACCTGCAGTTATTCACACATGAACCTTGCCTTTGCAGTAGAACTATCCCAATGGCACTGTTTGTGAAAATATTATATTTATTAAACAACAGCTAATTACTTTTGGAATTTCACTTCAAAAGATACATTGCAGTTAATAGTAACTGTTCTATATTTAGAAAATAAAAATTTCTTTTCTGTCTTTCAATTAATGTTAAGAATAATATATGCAGTTTTTCTTTGTCTATATTAAATATATTTAATAAACATTTGGGAAAATGTGAAAAATAAACAGCTCTAAACTTTTCTCAAATCTTACGTACACAAACAAAAGAAACCATGCACTTGCTTTTCACATCCTGCCCTGTAGAAGAAAAATGTGCATATGTATATATATGTTTATGATATATGTTACTGATATAAAGAATGTACAGCACACAATTCACAAATAATTATAAAACATACAATATTGTTTATTACAAATTCCCTAAAGCCAATTCATTTGCACATAATTCTTTTGTTGGTTTTTGCCAAGTTCGTATTAAGTCAGGGTTCTCCAGAGAAACATAACCAACAGGATACACATAAATATCTCTGAGAGAGAGAGAGAGACAGAGAGACAGAGAGAGAGAAAGAAGAGTCAGTCAGCTAGCAGAATTTCAATTGCTCAATTTTACAATAAACTTTTAGATAGAATGCAAATGTATTTACTTAGAGTTTTTACCTAGAAGTAAACACGGTTTGTGATTTTAAGCTAAAATTCAAGGAAGCATTCTTGATACATACTTTTATATCTCATTATGTCTAATGAGATATATAGTGAATTACACTTATTCAAAAAACTACATTTGCCTAAAGAGGATGCAGGCATTATAAGGAAGGCCAGTCTTTCTCTAGTAAGGCCTTCAACTGATTGGATGAGGCCCACTCACAGAATGAAGGGTAATCTGATTTACTCAGTCCAGTGATTTAAATATTAATCTCATAAAAACACCTTAACAGAAATATCTAGAATAATGTCTGCTCAAATACCTGGGTGCCATGGACTAGCTTTTTTGACACATAAAATTAACCAACACAGTAGCCACCAACCTGGTTGCAATTGATGAAAAGGGCATTTCTGCCATGCGGTTGATATTTTCTCTTACCTTAAATAACACTAACAGAGTGAAATGAAGGAAATATGTGTCAGAATGTTAACAGTGACATTTTATGCTAAACTGGATAATACTTTTCAAATACTAAGAGAGTATTTCCTCAATTTTTGTGATATTAAACAATGTAAAGCATATAGCTATGTTGTACTTTTAAGTTTAATCTGCATTATTAACAACATGTTCTCCAGTACTATCTCAAGTCTTGCCAATCAGCAAAACGATAAAACATACCCCTATTTGTAATATTTGGTAATTTCCATAATGTAAATACATCTACTATGACTAATTTCAAGCTAACAATATGTCTCTGGAGTGGAGTAGGGATGAAATATGCAATTATATATCCCACAAATACAATAAACAAGAATGTACTCAAGAGCATGGATAGTATTAAAATATAGTCATATAATAAGGACATAATTTTTGAGTATAATCGTTTTCAATATGATCTACTTAATTACAAGTTTATATAATTTCATATTTAACAACGGTGGCTATGTTTAACTCCCAGCTTACAAAAATTCCTAAAATTTTAACAATTAGCTCCTGTAAGCTGGTCCAGCGGCTCCACAAACCACTGCAGTTTACTTTTCCTAAACATTGCTGGCGGATAAAATTTTACAAAGAGAACTTAATTCACTTGGTATTAGGGATTAACATTAATAAAATATAATGAAATCTTCCTGTAATGTGTTCAGCCTTATCAGTTATTAATACTTATTATGAATTCGTCTGTGAGCTCCTCTCCTGAAGGCAGGCTTTGATGAACAGAGTGACAGTATGGGGACATAGGAAGGGATGTAGAAAAGGAATACAAGCGGAAAAGGAAAGGCCCAAGAGCAGAATATCACAGAAGGGCAATGTGCCAAACTGAAAATGCAGGTTACACCTGGCCCTTCATATGTGGCTATACATTGCTACGACATAGTTGCAAATATTGAGAAATTTCAATTGATAAGTTTTACAACAAACTTTTAGACAGAATGTAAGTTTATTTAATGAGCATTTTTGCCTAAACGTACACATTCTGTGGATGGCTTATGACTTCAAGGTAAAATTCAAGGTAGTGTTCTTGACACATACTTTTATACCAACTTCAAAAAAACGGCTTCTTCCTAGAGAAGATGCAAGCATTACAGTCATGACCTAAGGCACACATGAATTTTCCTTGTATGTTATATTTATGCTAATGGAAAAATAAAAAAAAAAACAGATAAAATCCAAGCTCTCTGTTCTTGCTTTCCTTCAATTTATCAAAGTGGTTGTCTCTTTAAAAACTTTAGAGAAAGTTGCAAAGTCTGTCTTCAGAGAAAGGGGTTCTAAGAACACTAATAAAAATGATGGACTTGAAAGTCAAAGGAAAAACAAAAGCTCCACATGTTCTAATTTATGGTGGTGCGCCTATCTTCACACACAGCAGGATGTTAAGCCTTCTGTTGTTCAGGAACATCACAAATTTAAAATGTTTTGAAGAGGACTGACTTTTGACATTGACATCAGGTCTTAACTTTAGAGACCTGAGATAATTAGTTTTAGAAATGTAAAGTTCTCTTGATACAGAGAGAGGTAGGTAGGTAGGTAGGTAGATGACAGATAGGTAGGTAGGTAGGATAGATAGATAAATAGATAGATAGATACATAGATACACAGATACATAGATAGATACATAGATACATAGATAAGATAGATACATAGAGATACACACACACACACACACATATATATCTACATCTCAATTCTCAAACTTCTTGACAGGTTTGGCATCTAAAAATCTGTGAAGGGCATAAAATCTGCTTTCAAATCTCCCACCTTCATATCCACCTTTTCTTTCATCATCTTCTTCGTTCTTCTGCATCTTACATTCATGTTCCCTCCAAAGTATACTGGAGGTAGGGCATGGTGGCTCACACCTGTAATTCCACCACTTGGGAGGCCGAGGCAGGCAGATCCCTTGAGGTCAGGGGTTCAAGGAGAGCCTGGCCAACATGGTAAAACCTCATCTCTACTAAAAATACAAAAAAAATTAGCCAGGTATGATGATGGCTTTAATCCCACCTTTAATCCCACCTACTTGGGAGGCTGAGGCAGGAGAATCGTTTGAACCAGGGAGGTGGAGGTTGCAGTGTGCCGAGATTGCACCACTGCACTCCAGCCTGGGTGACAGAATGAGACTCTGTCTCAATCAATAAAATAAAATATTGGAGTTAACTCAGAACATCCCTAATCACCCCAGTTATACCCAAAATTTCCATTAAAATTCTTTCATGATACCCTCTTATCTCAAAGTGCATGTGCCCTAGATTAACTTATCTTTGTCCTGCACTCTCTACATCCTTATCTTTTCAAATCTCTGTTGTAAAATTTTCTAGAAGTGTTCAGAGATCATCCATACTCTCTGCCCCAGGTAAGTGTTTTGTGTTTTTAAAAAGAGCTTTGGGAAATTAAGCCTCAAGAAATGAACCAATACACTAGTGCATAAAACATTAGGTCCTCAGAAAATCAAAACACCTATGCAGAAAATATGGGTTCTGTGATCAAATAAATTTGGAGGTTGATGTGTTGAAATACATAGAATTAGTTTTTCTCTTTTCAGAACTTTTACTATGACAAGTGTCTATTAAATGTTTATTTAATAAACATTTAGGAAAATGTGAAAAATATACAGCTCTAAACTTTTACCAAATCTTACATACACGGAGACACACAAGAGAATTCGTGCATGTGCTTTTCACATCCTGCCCTGAAGAACTTGTTTATCTACAACTTATAGATCAATTTGAAGTATTTCCCAATCAAAACCAATTGTAGAATTTTCTCTCGTGTATATCTTGGAGTAAGTGCTCCATACGATGTAAATTGCGCCTGAGCAACACACCATAGGAACTAGACTTTGAAACAACGTTGAGTCACTCAGCCTGTCAGTGCCTCTCAAACCAAGTCACATGGATGACTTACCACTCTCTAGGTCATAGGCAATATCAAAGTTAGAAAGTACTATGTGGTGTCCTGCATCCAGGAATAGACAAGAAAGGGAGTTGGGTGGTAAAGTGAGTGGGAGACAGGAATGGTTGTTGTGGGGGAGTGGGCAGACAAAAGTCCTATCAAGATGGCAATCAAGAAATGGTGCCAAAATGGAAGATGATTTCCAGGACTGGAAAAATATCCAAAATAAACGAGGGTGGAAACAGGAGGAGCACATGCCAGCAGTATGAATAGGTTACCTAAATTTTCCTTGGAGAGCTGTTTTTAAAGGATTTGGTGCATATCAGATTTTTGCGTTGAGCAAGAGCTTACACATGGCCCAGTGCTTGGCCCAAACATAATTGTATCACCTCCAATTATATCTCCTAACCTGAGCTGGACACCTCTTCGAGAAGCTGTGAATTTTAAACCTTAGAACACATACAAATTATTTGGAGAACTCTTTAAAAATGCACAGTCTCAGACTGCCACCTTCCCAGAGACTTTGATTCAGTAAATGTGAGGTGGGCTTGGGAATCAAATGCAGGCTCCCTTGTGAGGCAGGCTGATTTAAAACTAACCAACAGAGAGAGAACACATAGAGACTCCAAAAGCATGATCAAGTTCTTTCTAAGTCAGAGCAATTCCACAGGCTTTGTAACTTTGCTTTTAAGTAGAAAATGTGAATCTTTTAAGTTCCCTTTCTCATCTCTTATCCGTATCATAAAATATCTCTACTCTTTTTGCCTTTTCTCTGTGATCTCTGGCTAATGCAGTTAAGGGCAGAGAGAGACCTGAGTGAGACAGCCGGGGTATGAATCCTAGCCCTAAAGCTTGCTAGTGGGTAACATCCAGCAAATCACCAAACCCTCAGTGTCTCAATTGCCTCTTCTGTAAACTGGGAATGATTAGAACTTAGCTTGGAGGGTGTTATGAACTGAAGGTTTGTACGTTGAAGCTCCAACCCTTTGTGTGGCTGTATTTGAAATGGGGCCTCTAAGGAAGTAAGGTTAAATAAAGCCATAATGGTGGGTCCCTGATCTGATAGGATTAGTATCATTATAAGAAGAGACTCCAGAAAGCACTTGTGCTCATTCCTGCACACTCTCTCCTTCTCCCTCCCTCCCTGGCTTCCTCCCGACATGTCTTTTTCCCTCTCTCTCATCTTTTCTCCCTCTTTCTCCCTCCCTCTCTCCCTCTCTCTGACTGTCTCTGTCTCTCTCTGTGTGTCTCTGTCTCTGTCTCTCTGTCTGTCTGTCTGTCTCTCTCTCTCTCGTCATACACAAAGAAGAGGTCTTATGAGCACATAGTGAGAAGACAGTTACTGGTAAGAGAGAAAGAGGGCCCTCACCAGACTAACCATGTAACACTCTCATCTTGGACTTCCAGCCTCCAGAACCTTGAGAAAATAAATTTCTGTTGTTTAAGCCAGCCAGTCTGTGGTATTTTATTATAACATTCCAAGCTGACTAATACAGAGAGCTATTGTAAAGATGAAATGAGGTAATATATGTAAAAGCACATAGAATGGCACCAGGCACATAGTAAATATTAAGTGTTAACAAATACTATATGTTTTGTAAACTCTTCATTTAAAAGATGGGAAGAATTATGATATTAATTATATTGCCTGAGGATTAATCTATAATCATATGAAAAAATCAATATAAAGTTATTTTCTCTTTTCTTTCAGTAACTACTTGTAAAAAAAACAAAATGTTCTCTGAATTATCTCCAATATGGTCAATAAGAATATTAAAATCTGGTAATTAGGTAAAAGTTTGATATAAATCTCAGGATACAAATAATATTTGTATAAAGAAAGAAGAAGCTACCTCTTAGAGACCATACTTAGCCCTAACAAAATATGTAATTAACATCTTCTGAAAGGGTCATTCTAAACCTTCAAAATGAATACCAAAGGGCAGTTGCCTACACAATACATCTAGGTAATAAAGAGAACTGAGGTTTTTTGTAGTAAGAAGGGTCTGATTATTTCTAAATACTATAAAGCACTTTGCAACCAGCAGTAATATCAAAACAGAGCCAGAGAACAGCAGCATGATAAGGAGAAGATGGTCATGACCTAATGTGACATTCTTATTAGAGCTCTCTAGGGAAGGTGAGCATTACTTGCTTCCTTTGAGTTCCATTCTAACCTTTATTTGCAGAACTTTTATTCTCTGATCACTTTTGAATTAATTAGCTGATTTTAGGCCCTATTTGTTTTCATGTTTTATCACTTTTTTTATTTTAATCTATCCCAAAAATGTATCCCTTTCCCAATCACTCTTGGCATGTTAGGAAATTATGTTGGATGAGTTTGGATGTATTTTAACCTCAGTGAACATGGGAGGTTCCCTCAAACCCAACATTCTGCAACAATATTCTCATGAAATTAACCATCATGATTGGGTATTGACCTACGCATATTGGCCTGCACTAGCAGATACTATAATATTGAATTCAATAATTTCAGTAGCCTTCAATGGTATGTCTAAGAAGCCTACAGGTTTCGCCTTAGGGATACTACAAATAAATAGAACATAACCTTTTTACTAAGTAGCTTTCACTAAATCACAATATTTAATGGATTCTTTAATAGAATTTGCAATGATGTTGCAAATGATATTGCAATGATTCTGTCTCAATCAGTTATATTGCTATAAAGGAATACCTGAGGCTGAATAATTTATTTAAAAAAGGGATTTATTTGGCTGGTGCCCCTGCAGGCTGTACAAGAAACATGGTGCCAGCATCTACTTCTGGTGAGGGCCTCAGGAAGCTAAGCTTCCACTAACAGCAGAAGGTGAAGGGGAGTAGGCATCACCTGGCAAGAGAGGAAGCAAGAGAGAGAGGAGGAGGTGCCAGATTCTTTTTCTGATTTGCAAATGATACTGTATTGACACATAAAATTACACATTTACAACAGACAATGTGCAAAGGTCAATACAGTGTCATTTAAAAGAGATAAATTTGAACTCAGTATCTTAACAAAACAAGAAATACACCTAATTTGAAGTAAAGCAAATACATTTCAAATATAAAATGTAGGCTGGAAATCTGCTGGTAGTGCAACTCAAATTGAAATGGACTCAGATTTAAATGCTATCATTGACTAAAGTGTGCCATAAATTAATTACATACATACAAATTACAAAATATGTAAATATATACATTATTTATTATAAAATACATAAATTATCATATTAGATTTTTAATACATGATAATATTACATGTTACAGCTGAAATCCAGTCATTAGTCATATATTTCGTTCAAGAATATTGTTGACATTGGGAAAAGATGACTCACATGATTCATGTCAATAATAAAAACCCTTTAATCACTTTAATTATTATAATTGAAGGTAAAACATGGAAATTGGTGTACTAAGCAAGACAAGTATCTACCTCTCTGTATTTCAGGGAAAGGATTTATTGAGCTGCCATTATTCCAGACCATCTGAGAGGTAAAGATAATGGTTAGACTTATCTAATTTATCATTACATAATTTGGACCATAAACTTTAGTCCAAAACATAGACTGAATTCAGTGAAAAATACCTGTAAAATTGGTTGGTTGATGCCCAGTTTGAAAATATGCCCTTGGGGGTTGGGGGGAATTGATATGTGTGTGTGTGTGTGTGTGTGTGTGTGTGTGTGTGTGTGTGTGTGTATATATATATACATATATATATATATATATGTATGTATGTATATATACGACTATTTTATATTAATACAGATGTAAGACAATACTTATTGCTGTAAATAAAGATTAATTTATCAAATATAGGTTTGACAATTGCATTTCAAATGCTTCTTCTCCAGATTTGTATATAAAATAATGGCATGGCATGGATAGTGCTACCCTTTGGATATGGTTTGTTTGGTCCTACCAAGTCTCTTTTTGAAATCTGATCCCCAGTGTTGAAGGTGGGGCCTGATGGGAGGTATTTGGATCATAGGGATGGATCCCTCATGAATGGCTTGGTGCCATTTTCAAGGGAGTGAGTGAGTTCTCACTCTTAGTGTCCTTGAGAGCTCCCCTGAGAGCTGGTTGTTGAAGAGTCTGGCACCTCCTCCTCTCTCTCTTGCTTCCTCTCTCACCATGTGATGTCCACTCCCTTTCACCTTCCACTATGAGTGGAAGCTTCCTGAGGCCCTCACCAGAAGTAGATGCTGACACCATGTTTCTTGTACAGCCTGCAGAAGCATGAGCCAAATAAATCTTTTTTCTTTAAAAATTATCCAACCTCAGGTATTCCTTTATAGCAACACAACTGACTGAGACAGAATTAGAAGAAGGGTTTCAAAAGAATTTCAGTTTTTAAAAAAGTATATACATATTCCTTGTAGTTAGAGGTAGATATGAAAATGTCTATATGCCAGACCTATGTATATAAAATGAGAATATAGCAACCTAGGTAAAAGTCTGATCAACATTTCAGGTGAATATAAATATTATTAAAATGGTCATTGCACTTAGTTGAATAATATCCTCTCATCTACTAACATAATTGACTACCCTTTGGCTAAGAGAAAGAGCTAAAAAGTATAGTTACGGATTTTGCATGACATCAGAAAAAATAAAGGCTCAATCTAAATGTTATTTTCTTGTAATCATATTCATATGAGCTCTTCTTCAGGATGAGGTGAAACTTCTAAATTTAAAAGCATGCATTGGCCGGGTGTGGTGGCTCACAACTGTAATCCCAGCACTTTGGGAGGCTAAGGCGGGCAGATCACGAGGTCAAGAGATCGAGACCATCCTGGCCAACATGATGAAACCTCATCTCTACTAAAAAAACAAAAATTAGCTGGGCATGGTTGTGCGTGCCTGTATAGTCCCAGCTACTCAGGAGGCTGAGGCAGGAGAATTGCTTGAACCTGAGAGGCGGAGGTTGCAATGAGCTGAGATTGAGCCACTATACTCCAGCCTGGTGAAAGAGCGAGACCCCATCTCAAAAAAAAAAAAAAAAAAAAAAACATGCATTGCAGGTAATGTCCTCAAAACAAATGTTAGTTTATGAAACAAATGCATAAGATATCTAAAAATACATGATAATTTAGACTACTTAAAAGAAAAGTCAGTATTAATTAGTGGAAAATCTAAAATGTAGAACATGTTAGAGACATTTCAGAAATTATTTTCAAGGGTGTTGTAAAAATCAAGTCAATGGCTAACAAAGAATCTGCATGGCATACTTAAATAGTTAAACTGTACATACAGTGTTTTATAGTTCACACCCCACCCCACTTGCTTTCTCTTTACAACAAGCCGGAGACATATTTAGAGCAGGTAGAGCAGGAAGCAGATGCAGAAAGATAATTATTTGCACAGCTGGGAAGTGGAAGTGCCTAACCAAATATATAAGATATGTGACTCTCTAATGATAAGACATATTTTTTATTAAGTGCATTTCCAAACCATGTATTCTAAATCTCTTTAAAAGCCATTTAAAATGGACCACTGTTACGGTTACATTTTTTTTTTTATGGCAGACTTTTCTTTGAAAATATAAATTTCACTTCAGCCTAGATTTAATAATCACCCATTTCATTGTAGTAGAGTTACTCATTTTTTAAGCAAGTAACTATTGCACACTTACGTGCTAATTGCTGTGCAAATGGTTGTGGATACTGCAGTGAATAAACAGAATTCCTACCCTGTGAAACCCACCGTGGTCCAGCACACACACCCTATTAAAATAAATGCATATTTCTTTGTACTCTGTGATAAGAATCATAAAAGTCCTGTTCATATTTCCAGTGGAACACATAAAGAGGCCCTAGATTAGGTCTGGGTGGCCAGACAAGGCAATGTTTGAAGTGACTATTGATGTGAAAAATGAAGGAGCTGGCCAAGAGAAGCTGGGTTGGGTGGGAAGAATGCTCTAGGTAGAAGAAACAATTGCATGTGCAAAGTCCCTATAGAGGAAGAAGCATGGTGTCTACCTTCAAGGGACGGAATGTAGGTCCATGTGGCAAGCAGACACAGAGACTCACACATGGCGAGACTCAGAGAGGGTGGCAGGACTGATGGTGTAGAGCCTTGTAGCCTCTCTCAAGGATATTCGTTTTTTCCTGTGAAGTAGTCCCAGAATCATTCCACACACCCAGCAGGTGGGTGCAGCAAGACGTGACTTGAATTTTATAAATATTCCTCTACTTGCAAGGGTGAGAATGAATTAGAGGGGACAAGAGTGTGTGTGGGAGACAGAGGCTAAATAGGCAAAACACAGAAGAGAGACAATGTTAATATATGCAGGCTATTGATGGTAGATAGGGCACAGATTCAAAACATACAGGTGGTAAGTGAAGAAGACTCAGAGACAGGTTAGAAGTAGAAGGTGCGGAGAGAATCAGGGTAGTGAGATTTTACTTAATTAAAAAAGAAAAAAAATGACTGGAATATATTCATAGGACATCTGTATTCACAAAAGCTAATTGATGAGTCAGGTTAATTACTGTTCTCCACATGCTGAATTTCTGACATAGTTTCTGTAAGCATAATTCGGCAACACAACAATGGTAGAGAGTGTCATGCCAAAATGAATTGCTAACATATGCAATTAAAATAAATGTCTATGAGACATAACTGTCAAAATAGTAATTATGACATGGGGAGCTAGAAGCAATCTGAAAACTTATTTGAAATTAAATTCCTGTCCTCTGTATAGACTCAGTATATTCCAAACCAAGATTATTTTTTCCAAAAAGTAAAAAATTTAAAAACGCTAATCAAACTCTGTATTACTGAATATTCAACTACATGAGTCAGATAAACAGTACGTAAGTGGGAACTCCTTTGAGGAGTTTAATGATTTTGAAACCATGTCCTTTTAAAATGTATTTCAATTTTGAAAATTAATGAAGAATAAACCACTCTGAATTTTAGAAGTTCATGGTCATGTTTGACATTCACTACTTGTAACTAAGTTTTGTAATATAAGAGCATCCCACCAAACACAAAGTTAGAACTTTGAACATGTGTATTAAAGAGCATTTACTAAGCAATCTATTCGATTTGAAAAAGCTTAAAAATAGAATAGGATATGCATGCAATCAAGAGTCCCAGATTTATTTCTCTGTTTGGATGTGCTAGCAAGAGCTGAAGAGCCTTTTTTAAGTAAATAATCATAGTATTCTGTAAAAATATTATTCAACAAGAAACATTCTGAAGCAGACTTCTAGCAAATCTTAAGGAGGTATATTTCACCAATTCTGAGACTCAGATTTTTATTATTATTATTATTTTAAATGTCAACATCTCTGAAATCAAGAGATCTCTTGCAAGATATTTTCTTACAAAGACTGCAAAGATAAATGCAAGGGAAACTCATTATGAAGTTGCAATTACCTGTTCTTGGACATAGATAATCGAACTCTTTCTCCTGACTAAGCTATGGGCATTGTTGCTACAACACATGTTAATTGCCACTTAAAACACCTTCTCATCACTGAAACATAAATATATTGTTTATATGAATACATGGCAACAAAATACAGGGCATAAATTTGGTCTGAGTAAAACAGTCTTCATTGGAGGAATGACAATTACTGATTTTCATGCAAATCAACAAAGTGTCCTATGAAACACGAGAAAGATACCCACAAACATATGTAGCTGTGTTGTATTTTGTTACTGCTATTTGTGCAAAAGGATTTCCCGACATGCAACTCAGTGAAGATGAAGGGGGGAAAGTCTTGCCCAAACTCTCAGAATAGATTTTAAAATGTCTCAAAGCAATGAGGGAATGAGGGGATGGATTCATGCATTGGGCTGGGGCAGCAGTGGGGGGTGAGAGGCTATCATTAATGAAACTATCATAATTTATTAGAAGTCTTTCTTATTTCTTAGTGATATATAAGTAATGGTACAACTTAAAATTAATGTCATATTAGTTTCAGGGTAATTTGGTTATGGAAGAGCAATGAATTAACACATGGAAAACTGGGGTTCCAGTCCCATATATTTACATAATAATCTGGGAAATCATGAGTCTGTCTGTTAACTTATTTGAGCCCCAATTTCCTCACCTGTAAAATAAAGATGATGGGCTAGATTATTACTAAGGGATTCTAGTTTTATGATATTATGATAAGTCTATTATAGCTATCAAATGTTAGATCTAAAAGAACTTCACATTTTAAAAATGAGACATTTTATATTTTTATTACATTTTACTATTTTCAATTTATCTGAAAAAATATATAGGAAAACTTGGTTCACTGCATTTGACACTCTAAAAAAAACAAAATAGAAATAATTAGCGTTTTTTTCCTATGAATTTTGTATTCAGGCTTTTAAAAGTGAAACATGACAGTAACCATACTGATAGTAGAAAAGCCAAGCAGTAAATAAAACCCCAGATAAGGGCAGATTTGGTCAAATATTACATCTTCAGAACTATTTAGAAATTGCCACTGTTCACAGGAGATCAGATACAACAGAAGGCCTCTAGCTCCACTAGCATTAATCAAAGATCAAACTAGTTTGATTGCAACTTTAGCTTAAAAAAGTACTTGTCTTTGAGTCATTTGAAAATTTGTTATGAACGTTATAGTAAATGTTGTGGTATGTATGTATTAACAATTTTCAGTTTACTAGAATGCTTATTTAACCTGAGTAATAATACATCATCCAATAAATCTGAATGATGTTTATAAATGAGATGTTATTGTCAAGTAGTTTGATGGACAACTTTAACATCAGATAAAATTTTCCATAGTAACCCACCAAATGGCATATATGAAATTTTACTGTAAAACTTCATATAACACAGACAGATACTACAGGAGATGATAAAGGTCTTATTAAAGAAATATGGTAATGAAGATATTTTAGGCAAAGATAAGCTTTTTATCTTGTGCTTAGAAAGTGGTACTAACAGGCTGGGCATGGTGGCTCATGCCTGTAATCCCAGCACCTTGGGAGGCTGAGGCAAGCAGATTGCTTGAGCCAAGGAATTCAAGACCAGCCTGGGCAACATGGAGAAACCCTGTCTCTACAAAAACTAGAAAAAAATTAGCTGGATGTGATGGCGCATGCCTGTAGTCCCAGCTACTCAGGAGGCAGAGGTGGGAGAATTATCTGAGCCCAGGAAGTCGAGACCGCAGTGAGCCAGTGAGCCATGATCGCACCACTGTACTCCAGCCTGTGAAAAGAGTAAGACCCTGACTGAAAAGGAAAAAAAAAAAAGTAGAAGAAGAAGAAGAAGAAAGTGGTGCTAATGAAAGTGGATAATTCCACTAGGATATAATTTACCAAAGTCAATCAAGGATTATGCAAAGGCCAAACAAATTCCAAAACAGTAACCTGGAAACATGAGATCAAGGAAGATTTTACAAACATTTATTACTATATAATGGAGAAATATTCAAATTTACTCTTTCTCATAATGGGTTTTTAATTCCAGTATTTTTCATCTTAACATGGAATGTTAAAAGAAAATCACAACTACCTGTATCAAGAATTTGTTTTTAAAAATTATACTGCTTGAAAAGGCACAAAACAATTCCAAAATCCATCTTAATCTGGTACCTATATATATGACATACACACTAAACTAACACTATTATGTCAAAATACATATTTTATATAGAGTCAAAGATTAATAGTACTTTTCAGCTTGATGTGTCACAGCATGCATTAATTCAATCTAGGACTAATGAGATTCCTGTCTTAGTTACACTATTTAGAAGATTTTATTGGTAAAACTGGTTCACTTCCATCCCCATTGGTAGTGTTTCCCAGATATTCTCTTTTTTTTTATCTGAGTCAGAAATATATACATTATGCAAGCTCATCAATAGGCTTTTCGGTCCTTTCATCATTTTACCCATAAGCTATCACAGTCCACAGTGTACATTAGGTACATTAGAACTAGACCTCTATAGGTCTCTCACATTTCTGTACATATTGAGAGCAAAGATACTAACTATGCTTTTGTTCTGAACTCTTTTCAATAATGTTTTGATAGTAAACAGGCTGGGAATATAGAGTTAGTGTCTCCCATGGAAACAGATGGTAGGGGCAGCTTTGTTTATGGCCCAATATAATAAAGATAGTGGTTCTCTTCCGAGCAAAGTTCAGGCAGATTCATTTGTCATCCCTTACAAAACATTCAGGATTCCTAAACTTAGGATTCCTCAGCTGTGATGCAAACCCACTAATTGCACAGTACCCACCGAGGCCCCTCTATGTCAACCCCAAAGCACTTGGAGGGACAAGGGAGTTCGTTTTGCTTGCTGTGCTGTAATGAAGTCTTTGTCTCTGATCTAGGAGTATCATGTCTTCTGCCAGCATCTGCCATGAAACTGTGGAAGGCTAAATAAATTGTTAGCCTGAAAGTAGAGAAAAATTTCAGACTTTTCACATTCTTGACAAAACCCAACTTTTTTTGCAAAGGGAATGGATAAATTTTCTTAGCAATTTTCCATTTTCTAGTTTTTCAAAATATTATAGAATAGCAATTAGCCTCTTCAGTGTGTAATTATTCACCTATAAATGAACAGTGATGAATTTCATGATTATTGATTTCTGAAAAATATAATATTGGTCATTTGAGCCCAGAGGATGAAGATTTACAACACGCAATCCAAAAAGAACTCAGACCAGGCTGCCCACACCAACTCGTTCTGTCCTTCTCACCCCCAGCTCAGCTAGCTAGGCTTACATCCAAGCGAGGGAGAGAAATATTTGACTGAAAATGTTAGATGGAGACTTGCTAATCAACAACCAAGTTAAGCCATCTCGAATATCATTTTTAGACGTCAAAACAAGTATGTATCAGGTTCATGGACATGTTCATTGAGTGAAAAGCCTATTAACTATTCAATTACAGGATCTTTCTCACCCCCTTCCCCTTCCATGTATAACACTTTTGGAGAAAAACATCCAGTGCTGCAATTTAAGTGTACTTGTGCATTGTAAGAAACCATTAAAGCAAGGCTGAACATTGCAAAAGTCTGAGAGGGTAACCCGGGAAACAACCATTAGGTAAATCTAATGTATTATGATTATCATAGTGGCCCAGATCTGTGCACAAAGCAGGAAGATGATAGACATCTGATCTGTTTGAAGATGATAAGAACACATAGATGACCTGGCATTATGCCCTGATAACTGGTTGACATTTTTATAGACTTCCATTATGGACTGAATCTGAAAACAAGTTATCAACATTCGGTTCCTAAATCAGATACACTTAATTGGTCATTTCTTTTTTTTCTTTCTTTTTTCTTTTTTTTTTAAGCAGAGTTTCACTCTTGTTGCCCAGGCTGGAGTGCAGTGGTGCGATCTTGGCTCACCACAACCTCCGCCTCCCAGGTTCAAGCAATTCGCCTGCCTCAGTCTCCCAAGTAGCTGAGATTACAGGCATGCACCACCACGTCTGGCTGAATTTTTTTGTATTTTTAGTAGAGACGGGGTTTCTTCTTGTTGGTCAGGCTGGTCTCAAACTCCCGACCTCAGGTGATCTGCCCACCTTGGCCTCCCAAAGTGCTGTGATTACAGGCGTGAGCCACCACGCCCGGCCAATCATTTCTTGTTTTCTTTAGAAAAAAAAAAAATGCGTATAATAGACTGGAAGAGCTTTGTACAGTTCAATGGTAAAAACAACAGCTGCCAATTTTCAAGGCAAGGGTTTTCATCCTATCGATAGTGTAACTAAATCAGGGCTTATTAACCAAGTTAAATAATAATTAGGCAAATAATATTACTAAATTTTGGTCATAGCCTTTGCATATTCCCAATATCCAAAATAAGAAGATAATTAGGTCTACCTTACAAATCCTATCTTGAAAACTTACTGTACACCTGACAACTTATGGTTGGCAATACAGACTTCAAGAGGACTCTAGCCAATTGCTATGGAGAAAAAAGGGGGCTAAGTTTGGAAAAGAGAGAAATAAATGGTAATGACAGTTGCCAGAGTCAACTTTCTCTTGCTCTATCCGGTAGATAGTAACACCCAGGGCCATTCCTATCTACTTGAATATACAAAAGGCTGTGCTAACCTTTGATGTTGAATATTATAAAGCATACCATAAAATGGAGGAATCTTGATAGTCTTCATCATTTAATATCTAGCATTACTTCAGGTAACTAAATAAAATTCCTTCCCTCTTATTTTGGTAGGAATTTAAAACCAAGAAGCACTTTCTCCATCAGCAAAAAAACAACAACAACAAAAAACAAATTTAGATTCACGGCTCTTCCCCCATGCTCCAATTTCTGCTGCAAAAAATAAAAGCGACAATTAGGAAACAGCTAATATGGCAAAGGTTTCGTGACAGACATCAGCTGCATCGTTTCATATTAGCTGTTCAAACAGCCATCAGAGGATAACGACTTTCACTCACTATCAATCAATAAATGATTCAGTGGTAGTTTCCCATAATTCATTGCTGTTACTACCAGTAATCATGTCTCCTTCTTTGTTTCTTGAAATTAAATTTGAACAAAGCAGTATGACTAACTACCAGCTGATCTTCAATAGTTCCCACCAATAATTTGCTGCTTTGGACATTACACTATATTAGTAATAGATTAAGGCTCTGTATATTTTTAAGTCATGGTGAATTGCTAAGTAATTGCATTCATATTATTCACTCTACTATCAGTGAAGAGCATTATGCTGCCTAGATGAAGCTAGATTAAAATCAATTAAAAAGATGAGTTGGTTTTGTTTATCACGTATTTTTATAATTTATCTGACAGCTGTTTCCTGAATACCACTGAAGAATGCATATGAAGCAAATATAAACCTTCTGAATAAATCGATGCTTCTTTAAATATTTTTTTGGAATGTATTATGCCCAAACAGGGTTGTTAAATTAATTCTGCAATCATGAGATTCAAGATGGTACTAACAACTTTCTGATCTTCCAAATTTTGTGCTAATGTTTAATTAGGATTAATTGCACGACTGGAAATGGTGTTTCAATAACAATATTAGGTGGGTCATACTTTCTGGATAACATTTAATATGAAAATAGTCATGCAACTTTTAATGTCAACATGTAGATACTGAAGTAGCTGTACCACCAACATCACACTAGATGTAGGAATTTTTGTTTTAAAGCAAAATAAAATGAAACTTTTTTTAGCCTTTTTTATTTTGGATTTTTTAGACAGTGCCAACTTCTGATGCATAAACCTGTATAAATACAAAAACTTCCATCCTCACAGGCCACTCATTTCCACTATCAAATCCATCCAGTCCAAGTAAGGTGGTTTTCTGTAGTCATACCGATTCCAAAATGTGAGTCTATGTAGTATGTTCACTATATGCCTTACTTCCTCCCCTAATAAAGTCATCTTTTTACAAGGCCATTTTTGTACTTGACATATCATTTGATAAGTTATGCCCTTCAATATTTAAATTACATGCCACCCTCCTAGATTTCTGGACCATAAATCTGAGGCTATGCTTCTACAGAGACAGATTATTCTGCATTATTTTTATTTCGTTAAAATTTGTCTAACAACCCATTAAAACAAAACTTTATTTTACATAACTAGCACCATATTACAAAAATAAGTATCAGCCTCATTTTTTTTTAAGTCTTCATTTTAAAGTCTTCATGTCTCAGGGTAAAGAAGAAATTGTACCTAACTAAAGATCAATTTAAGCTATACTTTCTCAATTCTCTGAAATTTCCAATTAATTTTATTGTGGAAACTCTTGTGTCAGATGAGTTACAATAACAGTCTGTTGTTCATAATATGGGAATGAACAGAAGTCCCCACTCAAAGCCATAAAATATGACCACAAACAAGAGAACTGAGTGATGTTTCAAAGTTTCTCATGCAATAAATTTTCACTTTCTTTGCAGAAAAATGACTGATATGCAGAGGGAGCCGGAAGGGAAATGTCTACCATAAATTTACTTCTGACCCATAAGGAAACATTGTTTCATTTTTGTGGCAGTGACAGGAATCTTAGAATAATAATATCATTCCATGTTGAAATTAAAGGGAAACAAACAAAAAGCAAAGGAAACGCTTGGTATACTAAGTCACTTATTCTGGAATTTATGAAATATTTCAAAAACATCAAGAAATATTAAACTGGATCCTGCCATTGAGGCTCTAAGACAAATATAGTGAAGTGTTTCTAAGACCTCAAATATAAATATTTAATTAAAAATAATCCTAAAGAGAAAAAAATGATATCACTAAAACAAGAATAACAACAAACAGAAACAGTGCTACTTCACTGGCTGCTTTCTAAAAAACTTAGTATGAAAATATGGCCAAGAAAGGGACAGGAGCACAAAACAAAGAACAAACAAATAAAATTAGAAGCTGGTGGTTCTTCTATGGAGATTATAGTTCAAAGTGAACTAAGACTTATTTTAAAATACTAAGGACAATAATATCAACACAAAAGACAACTTTTAGAAGAAGACAACCGAGGATGCAATAGGCTAAAGACATGGGTCAGAGGACAATGGAATGATACGCAGGGTAAATCAAAAGTGTAACATCTCAACTGCTCTTTATTCCTTCCATCTTCTCAAAGAAAATCTCAAATTAAATCAAATGCAAAAGTAAACACTGTAAATATATCCCATCTTTTACTTAAGGGGGCTATTTTAAATATTTTTAATCTTCTTTTGCTGATCCTAACAAGTCTGAGGTAGCCATGTCCCAAGGAACTGATTAAGATTTGTTTTAGGTGTCCTGCAAAGAGAAAAGCTGAAGAAATGGTCAGCTTCTGACATAAAAATATGATTAGACAACAAGCCAAAAGCTTTTAAAGTCAATCTCTAGAGAAACTATTCTCCAAATTTCTTCATTGCCTCCTTTTGTATGTCAAAAACTAAGCTTGAAGACGCCAGCTCGGGGGGTTAACCAGATTGTAGGAAAATATCCCCTTCTACCACTAATGTTTGTCTGAAGTCACCAAAAAAAAAAAAAAAAAAAAAAAAAAAAAAAAAAAAACTAATCTGGAGACAGAAAACCTTGCCCGTTTTTCTTTTTTCTTTTATTATTATTATTTTTTGAGACAGAGTCTCGCTCTGTCACCAGGCTGGAGTAGAGTGGCGCGATCTTGGCTCACTGCAACCTCCGCCTCCCGGGTTCAAGCGATTGTCCGACCTCAGCCTCCCAAGTAGCTGGGACTACAGGCACGTGCCACCGTGCCTAGCTAATATTTTTTGTATTTTTAGTAGAGACGGGGTTTCACCATGTTGGACAGGATGGTCTCGATCTCCTGACCTCATGATCCGCCCGCCTCAGCCTCCCAAAGTGCTGGGATTACAGACATGAGCCACCGCATCCATCCTGTTTTTCATCGTGTAAGATTTATTGGAAGGTATATGAAAAAAGGTGAGACAACATATGTTCCGATTTCTAATTTGAGGGCTTTGGTGTACAACGGGTGAACCTAGGCCAGGGGCCTCTTTCCTATACATGACACCTAGCACTGTGAGAGGGACCATTGGGTTGAGGGTTCCAGGCCAACAGGTAAGCCCAGCCTCGCTAAGCAGGTCGAGCATCATGGTCAGAGAGAGATGCTTGGCTGACACTCCCGTGCTCGGCTCAGTTCTAGTGAAGTGCAAATTCCAAGCTGACAGTGTTCCCTGCCCAGGACTCATACTGAAGGGATCAGGTGACCCTACAGAGGCTAGGGCTGCACCCTGTGTGTGTGTGTTCAACAGGTATATGCTGAACAAGGGCCTAAGACCCCAACTCCCAGTGTTGTAAAGACACACAAGTCACAATCCCCACCTCTCCTAGACCAGGACATCCTTGAGGGAGAGAAGCAAGAAAAGAGAAAGCTATCTGAGAGCCTGTCATTTCAGAAGGGGCTGCTTACATCATGAGACAGACTAAACTTGAGATCGATTTGACCTGTAGGTAGTGTTTTTCCTTCCATTTACCAGTGCATGAGGTGCGTGAAGATTACATCTGCTATACATAAAATAAAAGGACTAGTTTTCTCGACAAATCCAAGTTGGCTTGTGAGGTAAATTATCAATCCTAAGTTAAAATAAATAGCATCCCAGGGACTGAAAGAACTTTACTGTGATCATGAATTCTAAAAAGAAAAAAATAGAGGGAGGATGAGGTCAGGGAGAAAGAGAGAAGGGAGACAGGAGATAAGGTGAGCACAAAAGAAAAGGAAAGAAAATGAAGGGAATACAGAGGAAGAAAAGAGGGAAGGAAGGAAGGAAATCTGTGCTCACAAGACAACAGGATGAGTTAATTTAATGGCTCAAGTGTGAGCCTCTGAGCCTTAAACCTGTATTAAAATTTCACCCTCACAACTCAGTAGTCATGGATCTTGGCCAAAGCCAATTTATCTGCCTAAGCTTCAGTTTAGCAACACTATATGCAAAATGAGATCAATACCTATCATACAGATACAGATTTATTCATATGGCCTAAAGTCCCTTAAAGAGCCAACAAAGAGACAGAAGTCTACACAATAAGTGATTTGACCCACCTCTGTGCACATCCATCTTTACAGGACCTGAAAAACTCACAGAAGGCTTAGTCTGAATGGTTTTCACCAGAAAAAAGTCTTCAGTTTGTGGCTGAGGTTATGAAGGCAGTTGAGAGAAGACAGAGGCAGAGAGGCTAACAGGGGAAGCCCTATGACTCAGGAGGAAGCCTGGGGAGAATCTCGCCCTTCCAGGCCATGGTACTGGAGGTGAGTCTAAGTTAAAAGTTGCCAAGACATAGGACTGGGGTCCAGCTAATACCAAAGACAGGAATTTACTTTGGTAAATTGATTTCAACAGATGAATGATGACAGTGATGATGATGATGACTTCCTAATAAGGGCTGGAAATTAATAGATTAAATAAACTATACAGGCCTGGTACTCATTAATTTAAGTGAGCCATTCAGGTTTCTAATTATATCTTGTGGACAAAGCACGGAATTAGATAGAAGGAAATAAAAAAAAAAAAAAAAACACCCCTGGAGCCAGGAATCGATATCTGGACATTTTGCACCCAAACAATGTTGATTAATGAATCAGTCTGAAGCTGGAGGAAAAGTGGTGTAACATGGGATTCTGAAATTTGCTCTGCTGCTTATGTATTTTCATCCATAATTTGTAAGAAAGATGTCAAAAGCACAATTGTCAAACTGCAGAAAATCCTAAACCAGAATGAGGGTCAAAGGGGTATACAGAATGAGATAATCAGAAGTACAAATTTATTTTTTTAATGGGCCAGGACATATCTGATGTGATGGCAGCTCATGTGGAAAAAGTAAAGTAAAATCCTGGACTTCAAGTGAGCACAAGCTCAAGATGATATGGCTGTGAAGGAAGTCCATGTCATTAAGCCTGTATCAGTGTCCGCCAGTGGCCTTCCAACTCACAGGATCCAATCATCATAATTCATCCTGCAATGATGAGATCATATCTGGATTATTATTCTTAGTTCTCATTCTTGTGCTGTAAGTATAAATTTGTATGATTAGAGGACATCTACGAGCAGTAAGAAGTCTCTGAAAATCATTGATAAAAGTGAGGATATTTTGTTTGTTAGGAATGAAGCCTCAATGGGACATGCAAACTTTCTGCACATATGTGAAAGCTCTTCACAAAATACATTTATTCTTTGTTTTGCTACAGTACAGAACCAGCCCAGGTAGATATGTCACAGAAACCCGACCAGCTCAGTGTAGTACAGCCAGAGGCAGTGAAGGGAAGAGGGTAAGTTGAAGCCAGCCATAACTCGGCATTCATTCATTCCTAATTCAAGAATCAACAGGTATTTATGAGCACCCTCTCTATGCCAGACATTGCTTGGTAGTAAGCAGGAGATGACATTCAAGATATTGAACAACTGCTTGCCATAAACACCAACCACTCATAACAGATATATAATTAATCAGAAAGCATGCCAGCCACAAAGGGCAGTATGTCCATCCCAGTGCACACTGCATCTCAGCCCAGTGTTATCAGTCCAAGGAGCAAAAATCCACATGTGATTACAGTACACTAAGACACCTGCTGTATTTGAAGTGTGAATAAAGAGTCATAGCAGCCCTGAAAAACAGATGGAAAGACTTAATAATCAAAAAGCATTTGAGAGGATGCTTGACGAATAGTGTGGTAAACCAGCAGGTGAAGGAAACAGGCAAAGTTAGAAAACTTTGACAGTGTTCGGTGTGTCCAGGGAGCCATAAGTATGTCAAAATTGCTATATCACCATGAAGGTGGGAATAAGTAGCAAACAGAGACCAGGTCATGAGGGGTTATGAGTACTACTGTGCAAAGCAGTATGGATGCTTTGCTTTTGGCTATGGGGATCACTGAAGAATTAAGAGCAAGAAAGTGATATGATTAAAATTATTCAATAGGAAGTTCACTCTAATGGCATTGAGAAATGCAGACTGATATAGCTACTACAATTGTTTAGGACTGGCTTAAATTAGAGAAGTGGTAGAGGAAGAGGAAGAAAGAGATTCATATCAAGGACAACAAGAGGTGGCCAGTCAGCACCTACTGAGTCAAGTAGGGTGATACATAGATTTCTTGCTTGAGTAATTGGGGTCATTCACTTAGACAAGAAATGTGGGGTTGCAGGTATACTTGGAGACTGTTGAAATGAAAAAATTATATCTTTTGAGTTTCAGTGTTTCACGGTATATGAAAAAAGTATCTAAGTTATGTAGGGAACTTGAGAGCAAGGTGGGATCTAAAGTTATAAATTTCAGAATTCTTACATCTGAAACTATCCTACAAAAGGAAACTGAAGGAGAAGAAAATGAGGGAGCTCAGGACTGACTTAAGAAAACTAACATTTACATAGTGGATTGACAAAAGAAGCCTGCAAAACAAACAAACAAAAACACATTAAAGCCACATCTCTCTCAATGAGCAACCTTGGACAAGTCACTTTGCCTTAATGAATTTCCTTAACTTATAACTTGGGGATAATAACACATAGTTCACAGGGAATAAATCATCATGAATGGTCATGTGCTCAAATATTAGTTCTCTTCTTTCTTTTGTGAATATTTTGAGTTTGAGTCTTTGACTAGCTAACACTGACTACCTAAGGCTATCTCATTTAAATACTGACTTGAATATGTCTTTTAAAAAAAATTAAACAGGTTGGTGATATAAAGGGAGAGCAAAAATTCTAGAATAAGATGGATTTGGATTCCTAATTCAAATATGGAAAATATCCTTATCTGAACATGTTTTTTTCTCAGTTGTAAAATGAAGGTAACTGTACCTATGTCACAGGATTCTGTTGTTAAGGGCAGTAACATAAGTAGCTCATCTCTCTCAGTATCTGCAATACAGCAAGCATTCAGTAAGTCTCAGTTCTTTCTCCATTTCATCTCTTTACTTCTCAAGTGTACTGTACCAGACATAATACAACATTTCCTTAATGACTCAGGGTTATCATTATGAACATCAGTTAATGTTACGTGTCTGAGATGCAGATGCAGCTGCAAATGTAATAGAACATCAGGCGAAATGAACCACTCATGTAACACACAGTTGACTTGCCTAATTTTGTCATATGCATGATACTGAATCTGCAGCAGCTTGAGATGATTTACCAGACACACAAAAAAATTGTGAACAGCTGCCTTTCTAAGATTTGATATCATATAAGGGAGACGAACGAATGTTATAGCGATTCATCAACCTCTCGAGTCCAATGTCTGTTTGTTCTCTTATAGCTAACATAACTTTCTTATGCGTCTGGCCTTGTCTTTTATAAATGAAGTCTGGAATCTGTGTTGTACCACACCATATTCTACAACACAGCTCTGTTCACTGCATTTGCATCTACTATCTCATAATACTTTTAAACTTACGTTTGCATTAGAGCTGTCAAAGGATCTCTTCTGGCTAACTCCCCACCCTAGTTACAGTCTTCTTTGTCTAAGCATCCACATTTCATGTTCCTGTGACCCTAACCTGTCCCTAGGTAAGTAGACCAAGAATCAGCACTAGATGGATGGACAGCTGATTCATAGCATAGGATGTACTTTATAGGTAGATCTGAAAGAGTAAGCTAAGCTAGCTGGATTCTTTGTTTTCAAAATATATCAAGGGAAAAAACAAGAAACTATGCCAGTCAGTAGTAACCTAATGGTGAAATAATGCCATGTGTAATACAAAATTTGGAGGGACCCAAAAAGACATGGAAAGAAGGAGGATGTAGTCAGCTGGCAGTAAAAAAACAATGAAATCTATGGGCAAAGAGAACCACAAGCAGAGCTGCTGCTGCTGCTGCTGCTGCTGTTGCTGTGTGTATGTGTGTGTGTGTTCTTGTGTGTGTGTGTGTGTGTCTGTGTGAGAGAGACAGAGAGAGACAGAAAGAAAGAGAGAACTGAGGAAAGAGAGAAGAAAGGGAAGGAGAGTTTGTAAGAAGGAGGAGGCAGCAGAACAGTAGGACAGAGGGGCAGGAAAGGGCAAAAAAAAAAGGGGTGTAGGGGAGGAGAAGGAACTGGAGCAAGAGAAACCCATCAATCCCTATAAATGCCTTGAGCCTCTAGGGCGCTATAGATCCACTTCCGGTCTGTATTTCTTTAAAATACATCTTTTTCCCGAGGTAACTTGAGAGGATCTTTTCTTTCAATCAATTTAGCCTGACTGATATATTATAATGGTATCAAAACAGCCAAATTCCCCTTGTGTAGTGTGCTGAGCTGCTACGGTTGCCATGGCTTTTGATTGCCCTTAGAGGTTGAGTTCAGGGGAATCTCCTCCTTCATCCCCTGCCCCTTCCCCGCATTCACATACTCATTGTAGACACATGAGTTTCCTTTAGAGAATCCTGGGATATAAATGACTAATGATCCAAGATTCTCGGTTTCATCTCCTGGAAAGTCCCCCAAGAGCTGTCCCTCTCACTCATTCTCTTTCTCCATGACTGGTGCTCTTCCTTGCCCACTCTTCCTTTTTTTCCCTCTGCTTTGCTTTTTCTGGTAGCTTCTACCTCATCTCCTTCCTTGAATGCTTCTCAGGTTTTACAGATCCTTTGAAAACATCGACAGCTAATCTATGCCCCATCCATACACCTTCTCTAACCTTCACAATCTGTGCTCTTCTCTGCCATTTGTTTCCTCTGTTTCTCTATCAACATAATGGTTTCTAGATTTCGTTGAGTTATTCTTGAGTCCCAAATAATTCCAAAAGCCTATAAGGATTCAGAAGGCTAGGATCTGAACAGCTGAAATTTCCAACAATGACAGCTATCAAACAGTGGCACTCGCTGACCCACAGTGAACAGCTTCTGCCTGGCCAAGCAGGCTTTGCAGTCACCAGCCATGAACAGGACAGCTCAGGGCTCAAGAGATATCCCAGCACTGTCCATTTTTGAGACACCTGAAAAACATAAAAAAACTGAAAAAAATGCCAAACAGAGGTTTAAAAATGTAAATAAATGTTATATGTCTACATTTAAACACATTAACACTTTTAATTTAAAAACAACAGGACATATACTTGTAGTACCCAAACAAAATTATAAAATTCAGAAGAAACTTGAGTTTAAAATTTTAAGATAAATGAACCTAAATTCTTCTCTAAATCTTCTCTAAATCCATCAGTTAATCCCTGGGACTAAGGAACCTCCTATAGAGAGAAGCTCAAAAGTCTAAATTTAAGATACTGGGCCTTCTGTGAACTGAGGCCCTGGCCAAATAGGCCTCCTCCCCCTGGAATAATCCCTGCCAGACATCTTACAGGGATAAAATGGGCATGAAAGCCAAGGGTTGGGGGTGATCTTTTCACATTATAGATCTGTACTTTTAAGGCTTCATAGCTGCCTTTTATTTGAATATTTAAATAAATTCTAATTTAAAAGGACAAATAACCTAAGCCCTGAGCTTTGCTCTACCACTATATAGCCACAGGACACTGAACATGTCACTTACAAGCTGCAGGCATCAATTGCCTCAATGGCCTAATCCTTTAAAATGAGTGGATCAACAAGACCAGAGAGTTTTTATCTTTTAGAGCTTTAAGATTCTATATTAGGCTAGGAGTAGTGGCTCAAGACTTTAATCCTACCATTATAGGAGGGCAAGGATGAAGGATTGCTTGAGGCCATAAGTTCTAGACCAGCCTGGGCAAGGTAGCAAGACCCCATCTCTAAAAAAGAATTTTTGTTTTTAATTAGCCAGGCACAGTGGCAAGAACCTGCAGTCCTAGCTACTTGGGAGGCTGAGACAGGAGGATGATGTGAGTCCAGCAATTCAAGGCTACAATGAAATATGATCCCACCACTGTACTCCAACCTAGGTGACAGGGTGAGACCTGGTCTTAAAAAATATATATATTCTATAATATTATACATTCCTTTGAGTTTTCAACACAATAAGGAAAAAGAAGTATGAACTGAAAGAAGTTCGTGGAGCAAGTCATCATCCTATATTAATGAGTTTCAGTGAAAGAGCAGTAAGAGCTAAAAATTTTATATAACAATTATTTGAAAACAGACGCAAGAATGTCCTATATCCAACAGAAAGGTTTAAAATTCATTTAGTTACTTTCTAGTTAGCATCACAGAACTTCAGTTTATTTTGCCTTCTGCTTGTTGCCCAACTTTATTTCAGAAAAAAATACGTGATGATTGAGCTCAATCAATATCAAGGCAAGAAATTTGAGGTATATGGCATCTGACCTTCACCCTTAGGACAGTGCCGAACAAGAATACAGATTGGGGTGGAGAGCCCCTTCACCAGACTGACTAGCATCTGTACATGCTAGTCTGTATGACCACTTCCCACAAAGTATGCATTTAACTGTTAGATACAAATCTACATTTGTTTCCATCCTCACTCCATGAATATTTAAAAAGTATGTTCCTTCCTCCCTAAGGAAGGAGGAGCAGCTAATCTGATTGCAGAAAACCTGATAGTCATTGATACGGTTTGGGTCTGTGTCCCCACCCAAATCTCATTTTGAATTATAATAATCCCCACGTGTCAAGGTTGGGACTAGGTGGAGGTAATTGGATCATGGGGGTGGTTTCCCCCATGCTGTTCTCATGATAGCGAGTCTCATGAGAGCTGATGTTTTTATAGGCATCTGGCATTTCCCCTGCTTGCACTCATTCTCTCTCCTGCCGCCCTGTGAAGAGGTGCCTTCCACCATGATTGTAATTTCCCTGAGGCCTCCCCAGACATGTGGAACTGAGTCAATTAAACCTCTTTTCTTTATAAATTACCCAGTCTTGTGTATTTCTTCACAGCAGCGTGAGAATGGACTAATACAGTCATTGAATCATGTTTTGTTAGCAGATGATCTAGATTCATATGTTAAAGGGCACTGCACATTTGTGGCTGGGGCCAAGTATGTAATGCAGTTTGACCTGCCTGTGTTCAGGTGTAATGGAGCCCTCACTTTCTTTTACTTTTAGGCACACCTGGGGAGGACCTCCCCATTTTTTCTTTCTCTGAGAAAATAAAAAACACCATTTTCTCTCTCTTCCAGGTTCTCTGAGACTGAATATGTGAGACTGATTAAATTTGTCCTGAAAAACTGGCCTCATCCACAGATCTGCTCCAAAGGAGATAAAAGCATAACTAGGTTTTAGGTATGAGCCTCACTCTTTTATGTAGTTTATCAGAGCCCTGCTTCATGGAGAAAGTGCTTGACAACCAATAATAAGGCTATTTTCATCTCTATTTTAGTATCTATTCTTTATTTCTTTCAAAAAAAGTAAAGCAAGAAATAGAAATTTGGCATTATACTCCAACCTTTAGCTTATTGGTTTGTTGACGAGAAAATCTGAGAATAAATATGAAGACTAGAAACACATAGAACGACGTAGATCATTTTGCCCTCTGTTTATTGCTAAAGCTTATAATTGCGATTACATTTTGTTTTAAAAGAATGGCTGCAGTCAGTTGGTTTATCACAACTTTACACAGCTAAAGAGACCATGTTTCCTATGGGGAATAAGCACCAATGTTTGGGCACTGGTCTTTGGAAGTTAGAGCACTAAGTATTGCTGAACAGCATTCAACCCACAGTCCACATTCAGTTCCACTTTCCCTTGGTATGCAGGAGTAAGGAAAAAAAAGAGTGAAGAGACACTAATTTATTGATTCTTGTATCTTATTTCCAAGCTCGTGATGTTACCAACACATGATATCCCGTTGGCTCTACATTGCTTTTTGTGTGTGGTAAAATAGACGTAAGATATACCATCTTAACCATTTATGTTTACACTTTAATAGCAGTAAGTACATTCACAGTGTTGTATCATCATCCCCAATATTTCCTGAACTTTTTCATGATCTCCAGGAGAAACTCTGTACCCATTAAACAACTCTCAATTTGCCCAACCCCACAGTCTCTGGTAACCTCCATTCTATTTTCTGTCCCTCTATTAATTTGCCTATTCCAGTCACTCTATAAAGTGAAATCATACATTTGTCCTTCTGTGTCTGGATTTTTTTCACTTGGCAAATGTATTCAAGGTTCATCCATGTTGTAGCATGTAAGAAAATTTCATTCCTTTTTAGGGTTAAATGGCATCCCATTGTATGCATACACCACATTTTGTTTGTCCATCCATCATCTGTTGATGGCAACTGGGGCTGTTCCCAAAATTTAGCTATTGTGAGTAGCTATTTTACCTACTATGAACATTGGTATATAGGTATTTGTTTGAGTCCCTGTTTTCAATTCTTATAAGTATATATCTAGAAGGGGAATTGCTGGATCACATGGTAATTCTATGTTTAACTGTTTGAGAAACTGCCAAACTGCTTTCCATAGTAACTATCCCTTTCATATTCTCATCAGCAATGCATGAGTGTTCCAATTTCTCCCCATGCTAGCCCACACTTGATACTTTCTGGGTTTGCTGTATTTTTTGTTTTGTTTTGTTAATAATAGCCATCCTAATGGATATAAAATGGTTTGTACTATTTTTCACATAAGGCCTCGGATTGAAATAAACACTGATGGCTACTTACCCAACATGCATTTCTTCTTTCCTCTTTTCTAAAGAACCCATTTCATTTTGTTATCAATTGCATTACCAGCTCTCGGTGGTGATGCTACTTAGCAAATTGGCTCATAGTATTCCCCATTACTGATTTTGGTCCAGGATGGAGTCAATCAGACAAAAGGAAAGATGTTTAAGGACTTGAAAGATGTCCTTTTTTCCTTCCACCTCATCCTCCACTACTATAAATAGAGAATGTGCTGTCCTAGTTTTCTGCTTGAGTAGTCTTATAACTAAAAGAGGAAGGAGCCTGAGGACAAGACTGAAACTCCAAAGATGACAGGGAAGAAAGGGGGGAAAATCAGAATCTTTGATGATATAATGAATGCAAAATCATCCAACCAAGGAGTCTACTCCACCAGTGGATGTCTTTTTACATGAGGTAATAAACTGCTCTATTTTTTAAGCCAGTATGAGATAACAAAAGCATCCTAATTCCTCTGTGACCATTGCAGGGGACTTCAAATATGAATAAGAAAATGAGGTGAACCAAAGATGAGTGGTAGGTTCTTCTCACTGAACACATGCAGATGAGTGGCAATCCTTACATACAAATTATGTCATCTTCTGCCATCATTGTGGCTTACAAATAACTAAAAAATTAAAAACCAACCCCCAAATTAAGAGAAAATTAAAATATTTCGACCACTGATTAAATGTTCTGGTTTTATTTTTAAATTCAAGGAAGAAACAGAAACTCTTTTAAGACAGGTGAAAACATAAAGGTGAGAAGGTATGAATTATATGCTCCCTAACTTCTAATAACATCCTGAATTTCATGAGTAGCTATAAGCTTACTCAAAACTCAGTGACTCAATCAGTGCTTTATTTAACCATGTTCTCCTTTGTGTAAACTATTACTTCAACAAAAGGCCTGAAATAAACCTTTTCTCTGAGTCTCTTTTATATGAAGTAAGTTGGACACTCATTTAAAATGTAGGGTGATACTCTTTCCCCACTGGCCCAAAATGCTTGTTTTCCTCTTCTTCCTTGCATTCTCTGAATCGTGTATTCACATGGAGTCAGCCTGTCATGTCACCAGTAGCAAATGAGTTACAAAACCGATTCTTCTTTCCTTTCCTCTAAGAAACCTAAGTTCGGGCAGAGCAAGAGGTTCACTGTCAGCAGAATGAACCCAGCTGTCATTTCAGGTCATTCTGGGGTAGAAAAGGGCAAAATATACTGCCCTCCCTGAAACCATTCTTAGTGACTTAAGCAGGACATCTCACTTAGAATATGCCATTCAGATCAACCAGCTCCGCATATGTCAAGTCACAATGCCCCCTAGGAGGCACTTAGTCTAACTAATAATATGATGAAATGCACTATCATGGGCTGCAATGGAAGCATGAAAAGCTGAGATATAAATGACTCTTCTAAAATGTTCTGGTTTGGATTTATGATACACAGGTCAAGCATCACTTTCAAGGCACTCAGAAAGCATTAAAATAGAGAAAATAATATCTCTTCTGGGTCTTATCCTTTCAATGCCATTCAGTAGATTGTTCTTTAAGGCTAGGTCTACACTTGAAAGTACATGATACAGCTCGCCCTGCTGTAGCTGCTGCTTCACTCTCCACTTGGTTTTAAAAGCAGCCAGAGCTGAAAATAGCTCAAGAATGAAGCCTGCATGACGGTGCAGTTGCCATTTCAAACATACACAGAAAATGTTAAGCCTCAGGCTGTTTTTCTCAAGTATGGACAGTCCCTAAGAGAAATAGTTAAAACTTACCCCTAAAATATTCTCTGCAAATGGAGGTCATTTGAAAGGAATAAATATATAGGGATTATTTGGCCGCTGACTAGGTAGAAATGTAGTACTAAAACCAAAGAAAACAAAGACCAGTTGCTTTTTAAAAAAATGCGAACAAAGGAATATATTCTTAAATTTAAGATATTCTATAGGAACTTTAATATTGATTTGATATTGTTTGTAGAATGACAATATTCAGGGATTATTGTGGCAAGAGACAAAAGACCAAAAATACAATATTAACAGAGGCTGATTTATAAGACACCAAACTTAAGCATTATTAAGTTTTAGACATAGCTCAGTATTTTCTCCCTTATGCTCCTTCTGTACATTTTCTAAGACTTAAAATGTTACCTTTGTTATCTAAAAGTGCATTTTAAAAACCATCAATTCAAAAGAGGCCCAAGTAAAAAGCATTCTAAGCAATAGGAAAGTGAAGGGTGTGTTTGAAAATGTAAGAGCTGAAGATGTTAACCAAAGATATCACATATGACTTCCATTAATCTTTAGAACTCATGTGATATGGTGCCTATGTTTCCTTTATATTAAATTAGTAATATTAAAGCACATTTTGGCTGCAATATTAAAAACAACATTCTATACATAAGAGATAATGTGTCCTCTTTGTCTAGATTGTTTTTACTCTAGATATTTATATTTTAAAGAGCATTTAATTTACTCTAGATATTTATATTTATATAGAGCATTTAATTTATACCAAGCACTATTTTATACACTTTACAAATATTAGGTCATTTAATCTTCACAATTACCAATACGAGTAGTATTCTCATCATCATTGTACAAAACAAACTGATGAACAGCAAGGTTAAGTAAATTGCCCAAAGTGACAGAGCTAGTAAGGAATAGGGCTCTAATGTGAACCAAGAAAATGAGGCTCCCCAGCCCATGGTCTTAATCACCATTCTATTGAAAGGAGTCATCTGCAGTCTCTCAAAGCAGAAGGAAATGATAGATAATAGGGCAACAGAACAAAAGTCTAATTCTAATTTTGTCACTAACTACATCTGACCTTAGGCAATTTCCATAAATTTTCTGGACTTCTGATGTCTCATTAGGAAAATGGAAGATCTTTGGTAAGATCTCATCTTCCTCTAATATTCTATAATTTAGAGCTTTTCACCTTCAATGTATTTACAATGGTTGAGAGCATGAGCAACAGGGTGCCAAAAACTGGGTGTGCAGGAACTGAAGGTACCAAGAATTGAAGGTACACAGAAAAGGACACAGCTCGACCTGCTTTAGATTTAATACCCTTTAATTGATACAGCTTGCCACCAATTATCCCTGATTTTTCCATCTGGTTTTACTGTGGAAAATGGCTGCAATATGTAAAGATAAGTGTGCTAAAACAGTGTTACTGTAAAGAAACTTTGTGAATAAGTCACGCAATAAAGTGAAAGCTGGAAAAAGTATGCCTCTTAACCATGAAGAACAATAGCATGTCATATCTGAGTGTAGACCTCGTGAATGGATAATCTATTTCCACTAGATGTCACAAATACAGACTCATCATTACCAGCAGCTTAGAGGCAAAGTACTGAACTGTCAATTCTTCTTCTAAGTGCCCACTAGGGACATAAAATAGTTAATGTCATTAGTTAATGAATTTGTTTGTAATGCTCGAAAGAAATCTAAAGATGACCCACTAACTACAAAATAGTCTAATTAACTTTGTTGTTCATCACAACTACATCAAACAGGCTTGTATTCTGGCTTCTATAATACACAGATTTTAATATATGGGCTCACTTTCATACAGATATTTGCAGTAAATCAGTAAGATCTGCATTCCAATACATTGCCTCAACCAAGCAAGAGGATTCATTTTAATGATCTCCCACTGTGCCCTGTTATTAAGTTTCACTAAGTATTTTTCAACAATATTTTTTTCTCCAAAAACGCGTCTAAACAACTTCAAAGCAGCTTATCAATACAGTCAATTGAGGAATAATTGTAGTTGGGGCAACTGACAAAATGTTTTACTGTTCTGAAAGAACTGACCAACTGATTGATTTTTCTTTTTATTAAATTGATTGGCTACTTTTGTGAACATTTCCATCAAAAATTAACTTTATATGCTTCCCCTTTCCGTTAACATGTTCTACATAGAAAAGCAGTTATATATTGGCTTGAGTTTAGCATTCACTTCTTTGTTTAATCAGCAATTTTCATTAGTTCAGTATAATTAACATGCTTGTTGTAGGAAATTCATAGTTCCAGATGAAAACACAGACTTGATGCATTCTGCATTTTCCTTCTAAGTTTTTTCCTATGTAAACACATATTTTTACAGGACTTAGATACTAAGGTATATATATTTGGTGTCCTTGTTTATTTAACACTATGTACTGGGTGTGCTTCTTTACTATTCTTCAATATCACTTTAATGCCTGCAAAATATGCCATCATGTGGAAGTAATATAATACTCTATGAATATATACTTATAAAGAAATCATTGTGTGTATTTCTTCTTTTTTATTTATATGTTTTCTAAAATAAAAAGCCTTATCAAAAAGTATGAAAGCTTTAAATGTTTTTAGCAACTTCTGCCAAACTATCAACTTGAAAGGTTGTGTGTACATTTACTTTCACCAGTGAATCTGTATGTTCCTCATCCTCACTAAAGTGCATGCCTTTGTTCTGGTTAATTTGATAGGTAAAAATAATTTAATCTGCCTGTCTTATAGTACAAGTGAATTTTAATTTTTTCATCTGTTTATTAACCATGTGTACTGCCTCTTTTTTTAATTGTATTCTTCTAGTTGGGGGGACTCTTGTTCTTTTTTTTTTTTTCTTTTGATCATTGCTCTAACTCACCTGGATTTTTCATTCCTCATTGGCTGGTGTCACTAAGGCAATGTAAACTAAGAGTCAAGTAAAGTACTTTAGCTTTCCTAATGTACCATTTTTTAAATTGTATTTCTTATATTTGTGTGCAAAATGGAAAATTCATACTAAGTAAGAGGCAATGGTGAACTAAAAATGACCTCTGATTGGCAGGCTACTTTAGAAAATCAATGTGAGGACAATTTTATATAGCTCACTAATTCAAAAATCTCTTTCTTGTACTTCCTTAGACTGGCAGCAGTTCTTGCATCACGGAAAACACATTTGTCTCAAATTTAAAATTTAGGGTAATTCCTAACTGCTCTTAAAACTCCATTATCCACGATCATTTTCCTATCATGTTAATTATTTATGCCAGAATATTTTCAAGCTAAATATGAACTATTTCCAATATAAAAATTTTTAAGGAAACAAAAACATACAAAATCTGATCAATGACAAAAATTCCTACCTAAACATCTTTTTTCCTTTTTCAATACCAATGCATTAGAAATGGCTGAAATACAGTTATTGTAGAGGAGCTATCAGAACAACTGATAAGAGATAAAGATCAAAACTGTAGGATGTCAAAGTCTTGGAGCTGCTAATCAGAAGCAAATTTTATACAAAGCCATCCCGTAATCCTATCAGGGGCCAACTGTCCTTGCAGCCTAATTAAAAAGGGAAATCACACTGGAACTATTTGACATTGTTCAGAAAGAAGACAAAGGCATCCAGAATACATGACTTAGGGATAAATATGCATACAAAAATGTTAATACATTGCTAAATGATTAAATATATTAAAAGGCCCCAAATCAGGTAAAGTATTTTAAAAGTCTAATTTGTGAGTATATTATTACTTCTTTCTGTCTCTTAAAACTGGACCAAACCTTGTGAATTTAATAGGTTAAAACTGCCTCCTAAAACTGCACCTGAGATAATGAGAACTCTAATAGGCATATAGAACAGTGATAAATAATCAACAGAATTAGCTATATTTACTACAATCAATTAACTAAAAATATAGACACTGTTAAAATGACTGAAATGATCGAGGTATAATCAAGACGTTGTTGCTCAGCTGAAATAGTAATCTAGGGTAAAATAGAGTACTATTTTTATTTGTCACAGACTTGGTCATCTCAGCATGTTGAATGAAAGTTTTATCTAGTATCATGACCAGTGGACATGAAGTGTTTGTAATGTTTGTAATGAATTATTTTACTGTCTGTAAACTGTTAACCTAAAAAATATCTAAACAAATTATCAGAAATACAAAAATGTAGAAATCATAACCAATTTTTGTCACTACCTTATCATTGCTAAATTTCTCTTAGGCCAAATTATTAGAGGATTAATTAAACTAATCTATGGTGTTAGGGGTAATTAGAAGTGTAAGAGATTACTTCAAGAAACACACACACCCACCCACATACGCAGAGAGCTTAGCAAAATCTTTCAGTTACTACTTCAGTCTTTCCAATTACTACTTTATTCCTATGTTTGTTTCCTTAAAAGGAACAAAAATGTGTGTGTGTTAGTCTGTTCTTGCACTGCTATAAAGAGATAGACTGGATAAAGAAAATGGGGTACATATGCACCATGGAATACTATACAGCTACAAAAATGAATGAAATATGTTCTTTGCACGGACTGGATGGAGCTGGAGTCCATTATCCATTACAACAGGAACAGAAAACCAAGTACCATATGTTCTCACTTATAAGGGGGAGCTAAATGAAGAGAGCACATGGACACATAGAGGGAAACAACACACACTGGGGCCTTTCAGAGGATGGAGGGTGGGAGGAGGGAGAGGATCAGGAAAAACACCTAATGGGTACTAGGCTTAATACTTGGGTGATGAAATAATATGTACAACAAATCCCCAAGACACAAGTTTATCTATGTAACAAACCTGCACTTGTACCCCTGAACTTAAAATAAAAGTTAAAAATAATAATAATTTAAAAAACTGTAATACCTGAGACTAGGTAATTTTTTTTTTTTTTTTTTTTTTTGAGACAGAGTCTCGCTCTGTCGCCCAGGCTGGAGTGCAGTGGCGCGATCTCGTTTCACTGCAAGCTCTGCCTCCCAGGTTCACGCAATTCTCCTGCCCCAGCTTCCCGAGTAGCTGGGACTACAGGCGCCTGACACCAATTTTTTTTAAAAAAGAGGTACATTTTTTTAAAATGTACCTCTTTTTTAAATTGCCTGGCCGGTAATTTTTTTTTTTAAAGAGGTTTTTTAAAATTTTAAAAAAAATTTTTTTTTAAAAAAGAGGTTTAATTGGCTAGTGGTTCTGAAGGCTTACAAGGAGCATGACTGGGGACGCCTCAGGAACGTACAATCATGGCAGAAGGTGAAGGGGAAACAGGCACATCTTACATGGCTGGAGCAGGAAAAAGAGAGAGAGAAGGAAGAGGCGCTACACACTTTTTAAAAAACAAGATCTCACAAGAACTCACTCACGCCGGGTGCAGTGGCTCACGCCTGTAATCCCAGCACTTTGGGAGGCCGAGGCGGGTGAATCACGAGGTCAGGAGATCGAGACCATCCTGGCTAACACGGTGAAACCCTGTCTCTACTAAAAATACAAAAAAATTAGCCAGGGGTGGTGGCGGGTGCCTATAGTCCCAGCTACTTGGGAGGCTGAGGCAGGAGAATGGCATGAACCCAGGAGGCGGAGCTTGCAGTGAGCCGAGTTCACGCCACTGTACTCCAGCCTGGGCGACAGAGCAAGACTCCGTCTCAAAAAAATAATAATAATTCACTCACTATTAGGAGAACAGCAAAGGAGAAATCAACCCCATGATCTAACCACCTCCCACCAAGCCCCTCTTCCAACACTGGGGATTACAATTTGACATGAGATTTGGGCAAGGACACAAACCATATCAATGCGTGTATAATACAAACACACACATGTACGTACACACACACACACACACCCCAGACCAAACAAGAAGGCTCACCGTTTCACCAGCTTAGTTTCTGGCTGATTGTGGTGTTCTGTGAATTTACTGAACATGATGAGAAACAGTTATGTGGAACCAACTACATCTACATATTTTGTTTTGTTTTGTTTTTCTTCTCCTTAAACAATTGGTCTTTTCATTTCAACTTTTATAAGGTTCTGGGATGCTCTTATTAAATATTGAATAAATCATCATAATTAATGGACTACAAATTTGTGCTGTAAAATTCCAGTTATCAAATCTTTACACAATGACAGCAGTGACACAGTAGAAAACTGGCAACATTTTTATTGGAAGAAATATTTTTGCATTTTCACTCAAATGTAAGTTATTAAAAATGTCCCCCAAACATACACATATATGAAATAAAATATAAATTCAATTTAAATAATGTATGACACTATTATTAAAGTCAATTAACAATAATACACACAGTATTTTGCATTCAAATTCATTAACAGGACCTGTAAATTACCTCCTTCTATTAATTTTACATAAAGACTTAAAAACAATCATTGGAAATCAAGATGAAATAATTGTCCCCATTTTAGGGTGGTTTGAAAGGACATTAGTGATAAGTTGATCTCATAATTAAAAATGGGATGTAAAGCGACTCATGCCATCTTTTTCAACCTTATATCTAAAGCAGTGATTTTTTTTCATAATTAATGGCCAAAGTCCCTGAATGTCTTGTACCTAGGTTTATCCAAGTTATGACTACATATACATATGTTTATTTTAAATATATATTTGATATATTTTATTGTGCAAAAATTTAAAACACAACATAAAAGTGAGTAATATGCGGAGGTTGGTCCTAACAGACAGTGGAAATTACTGATTAGTGACATGAAAAATTTTAACAATCTCTTTAATTTCTCAAAAATATTCATAGATTTTTAGTTTATCCATTATGTGAGTTCAAACACAATGAATCAAATACAAGCTAATCCAGATTTTAAGATACGGCACCCTTCTATTTTAGTAATACGGTATATTGAAATTTAAAAATAATAATATTGAATTTTAGGTAATGCACCATGTTAAAGATCTACAGAATATGACTAAAAGTGTCATATTCATGTATGAAAGAATGTCCACACACAATCTAACATATTTATGAGTTTGTTTCATAGCTAAGTCATGATAGTGCTTTACAGAATGAAACATCAGTCTCATCTTTCTGTCATATCAGTCATCAGAGAGCTATCCTAATATGATTTCATGCTTTGAACTCCCATCTTTTTTATTACTATGATAAATCATTATATATGAAATCCACAAATAGAAAACATTTTAAAATGGGCATAAACACAAAACAGACTCTAAAAACAGTTCCTTAAGAATGGAAGATAATGCATTTTCTATGCGATCCATTGGCTAATACATCTTTATAGAAGTGACACCAAACTAGTTCCTTACTGAGCAATCCAAATTATGACACTAGATGCACTCCATCGGTTTTCACTGTAAACTGCATTTCATTTAACATACTGTATTGCTTGTCCTTCTGCCCTCCTTGGATTCTCATTCAGTTGGAAGAGAAGAAGCCATTCTTGCTATTTACAAACTTGTTTCTATTTTTCTGACTAATTCTTTAGAATAAAATCCCTAGTGTCCGGGCATGGTGACTCATGTTTGTAATCCCAGCACTTTGGGAGGCCGAGGTGGGCGGATCACCTGAGGTCAGGAGTTCGAGACCAGCCTGGCCAACATGGTGAAATCCCGTCTCTACTAAAAGTACAAAAAATAGCTGCGTGTGGTGGTGGCCGCCTATAATCCTAGCTACTCGGGAGGCTGAAGCAGGAGAATCGCTTGAACCGGGGAGGTGGCGGTTGCAGTTAGCCAAGATGGTGCTACTGCCCAACAGCCTAGGTGACAAAATCCCTAGTCACACCTAACTCAGTACACCATTTGTGGTTCCTGTTAAGCTTTTTTCTTGCTCACAGCCTTGCCCACCCTGTAATATAACTTTGGTGAAAATCTACAGAATTATATTTGCTAATTCTTTTCATTCACACTAAAGCTGACTAAAGAATATCTCTGAATTAGTTGCTTTTAGAGAAATATTTGCCACTCTATCAAAGATAGCTTTTTACAGTTGCATAGGAATTGAAGATGAAAAATTTTAAACACCTTTATTTTTTATGGTTATACGGTCTGAAAACCATTACTTCAACCTTGCATTACACCAAAGTGACTCAATCAAAGCATATTGAGATACATTAAATAAGCAATATTTTTATTCTGATAAGTTCTAACTAACTGGTAGTTTTAAAATAAAGGCAATAATACATTCTGTGCTTCCATCTTTTAGAGTTCCTTTTAATACATTAAGGCCCAAACTATTATTTTCAAATACGCAGTTCTTGAAATAGAGATGTGTGATGGCAGTGGCTAGTGGACCATCCATTCTCTCCTTAACCAGTAATGGTGCTACAGCTGCCAAGCTATGTTTTTAAGCCTCCCATGCAGGTATTTCCGTGCAACTAAGGTCTCTTTAAATGAATTCAAGCAGAAGTGACATGTGCCATTTCTGGGCCTGGGATCCTGTAGTGAATTCTTATAATTTTATGTAGCTTTGGCATTCATTTGGAATAGAAATTTAACTTTCTTCTATCAGCAGCAGGGCTCACTAGACCTTGACATATTTCCAGTTCTATGCCACACCCAAATGGCACAAGCCAGTGGACAGAGATAACTTCTCTCCCACCTAACAAACTGGGATCCCTACTTTCCTGCTTTATCCTTTAATAGTGAGAACTTAATGATCCATGCTCTAGTCCCTTACATATACTGCAAAATGCCTCGTGCTCTTCTCTCCCTGACTGACTCTTCTCAGCTCTACCCAAATCATTGTGCCCTTCTCGCCCAGGATCTGTAAGTAAAAACCTTTGAACTTGTTTCCTACTGCAGTAGTATATTGAATTTGCTCTATCCATCTGAAGAACCAGGGACTCCCCAGCCTGGGCTTCCCCCAAGACACCAGGGAGAACATGAGCTCAGGCTCCCAGCACCAGAGCAATGTCAGGCAAGTATAAACTGAACACAGGTCAGACAAGAGTCATAAGGGCATCTGCCAATATTAACAAGTTGTCTGTGTGAAGGATCCCCTGGTCACAAGTTGGACAAATAGGCATCAGGCTGTCCACTATGTGAAAGAAGTATCCTGTGAAAGGTACACTGGAAACAGCCATGTCTGTCCAGCTCCCCTTTATTTCTCTTTAAGGCAGGGTTGCCAGTCACTCTGGTACTGGTACCCCAATTTAGCTGGGGGCTCTCAAAACAGATGCTCCTCCTTCCTATTAGCTAGAACACTGAGGTGCTTGTGTCCTAGTTGTGAACATGTCATTAGGTGACAGTGGAAAGACAAGGTAGAAAGAACCTGAGCTCCTGAATGATCACCAGGAGCAGAGCTGTGTCAATAACCTGGAGCACTAATTTCAAGAATATTACATGAGCAATGAGAATTGATATGTTCTTAAAAGCCACTGTATTCCAGATTTCTTTGTTATAGCAACTTAGCCTTCACCCCAATACAAAATGGGGTGGGCCAGGACATACAGGACAGAATATGAAATTCTGCATTATGGATCAACTATATCCTTTAGATTTACCTATTGGAGACAAGATAACCATACTACATAAATAGACACATCTGAGCAGCAGACATGAAGCATATTCACAAAAAGCATTTGGGTTATTTATATCAAGTTCCATTTGATCTTGAACTGAGGGCATAGCTGTGATGACTTTCTAGCCCCAACAGTTCGACTCAGCTCCCAAGAAGCATGACAATGCCTAGAAAAGGAATACAATCATGAGAACTCTCAATGCAATTATTTGCATGTCATAGTACATACTATTTCTTTTCTAAGCCTTAGAGGTTAAGATGCTTTTTAAAGAAAACAGAGTCTTCTAAAAAAAATTAAAGCCACTCATTTTCAGTATTGGAAAAAAAGGCAGAGTGCAGAATGTAGGAAAAAGTACTATCTCTGAGAGTAAGGGCAAGAAAATCAACCATGCAGAAGTCATTTTGGAGTGAACTTCTGAGTAGTAGTTTGCCACCAGGTAGGCAAGGCTATGAGTGGTGCAGGGAGGAGGGGGAGGTTGGAAGGGAGAACGAAGGAGAGGCAGTGGAGAGATGGGCATTACAGGTCCAGCAATGCCAAAATATAGAGTACAGAAAGAAAGGAAACAGTTGAAAGGCAGGCAGCATTCAGAGCATCAGTAGTGGGTGGAACCATGTTACAGCACTTGAAGTTTACCCCGAAGATAAACAATAATTCAAAAATTTAAATAATGAATATATTATCATATTTGGAGTTTGAAAAATTATTCTGAACACAACATGGAGTATAGCCTGCAGGAAAAGGGTTTTAAAAGGTTCTGGTAATGTAAACCAAAAAAAGGAAAGCAAGAAAAGAAAAAGCAAGCCTGAAGAAATCAATGGCAATAAAAATAAAAATAGAAGTCCGGACAAAATTAAAAGGTTGACAATGACAGGTCTTGACAACTGACTGAACAAAGGTTCTGACATCTTTAAAAAATAATAGAATAGTTGAACCTAATAAAAGGAAGGAAATGACTAATTCAGTAAGAAATGGAAAAGTGTACATATGAAAGTTATTTAAAGTTATAAGGGAAAAATTACCTCAGAAAATATTATGTATTTTTCTAGAAAATCTGGATAATTACAATTTTTTTTTTTGAGATGGAGTTTCACTCTTGTAGTCCAGGGTGGACTGCAATGGTGCAATCTCAGCTCACCACAACCTCCGCCTCCCGGGTTCAAGCAATTCTCCTGCATCAGCCTACTGAGTAGCTGGGATTACAGGCATGCACCACCAAGCCTGGCTAATTTTGGATTTTAAGTAAAGGCAGGGTTTCTCCATGTTGGTCAGGCTGATCTTGAACTCCCGGCCTCAGGTGATCTGCCCCCCACAGCCTCCCAAAGTGCTGGGATTACAGGCGTAGGCCACCACACCCGGCGATAATTACAATTTATTAAAAGCTAAAATTAACTAACGAAATTGAACAAATCACAAAGAAATACAGTAAAATAATTATCAAAAATTATAATTAAAAGTTACTTTCGAAAACCATCCCAGAAAATAAAGTTTACTAAAAACTTCTCAGAGTTTTAAAGGCCATACTACATAATTTGATTATGTGTTCAAAAACTTAGCTAATTAATTTAATGAAGCATAACTCCACTCCCAACATCAACATTTTCTCAAAATAGCACTAAAGAACAGGGGCAGGAACAGGAGGAGGCAGACTTGAAAGATAAAAGCATACAAATACAGACTTCTGTCTACAGGGCATTCAGTCACCACTTAGCACATTCCATCATTACCTAGAGTGCATGGGACTGAACCTGCAACTTCACAGTAATTCTCAACATAGTAATGCTTGTTACCACTGAAGGATTGTAGTTGGCTTGAAATCTATTTCCCATACATTCCATATGCCCATCTAAAATTCCAATTACAGATGAATATGTGTCATAAAATATAAGTATTCTAAATTCATTAATACATTAAAAGCTTCAGCTATTATGATCTGGTAAGGAATACCCCAATAATACAAGGATGGTTTAAGATTCAGAAATCTACGTAGCAAATGTTGCATAATAACAGGTCAAAGAAAAAGTGACAAATTTAATAGAAACTAAAAAGGCATTTAATAAATCTTAATATGCACACTTGATTTTAAATGCACTTCCTGGGAAAATAAAAACAGAATAATTTATATGTTAAATAATATTAGGCCCACAGAATATCAAAAGTAAAAACAAAAGATAGATTTCTAATAAAATCTGGACCAAAAGAAAAACACATTTCTAATTGTTATTATAATTTTCTAGAAATTTTAGCCAACAGTATCAGACATGAAATAGCAAAAAGTATTAGAAATGAGAAGATAACATTATCAATATTTTGGGGTAATTTTTGTGCCTGAAAAACAAGTGAAAAAAGTTATATATTTAAATCAATAAGACAGGATAAAAGTTTAAATTATAATAATTAATGTTTATGCAATTATGACAGTTAATTTTATGTGCCAACTAGACTGGGCCACAGATTAAACATTATTTCTGAGTATGTCTATGAGAATCTTTCCAGAAAAGATTGGCATTTGAATTAGTGGACTGAGAAAAGCAGATGGCCCTCCCCAATGTGGGTGGGCAGCATCCAATCCCTGGAGGACTTGAATAGAATAAAAAGGGAGAAGGTTCAATTCACTCTCTGCTTGACTGCTTGAGCTGAAAGTATCAGTCTTCTGCTACCCTCCATGCTCCTTGTTTTCAGGCCTTCAGACTGGCACTGGACTCCCTACCAACAGCTCATCAGTTCTTAGGCTTTTAAACTACACCACTGGCTTTCCTGGGTCTCTAGCTTGCAGACAGCAAATTGTGGGACTTCTCAGCTGCCATAAACACGTGAGCAAATCCTTTATAAAATCTTGTGTGTGTGTGTATGTATATATATGACCGTTTGTGTATACATATCCTATTGGTTCTGTTCTCTGGAAAATCCCTACTAAATACAGCTATGTATATGCAAAGCTGGTTAAAGCAAAAATCAACTTATAATCTAAATAGCTGAAAAATCATAAACAACCTAAAATATTCGAGCACAACATGATGGGATACATCTATGTATAAAACATAATTTTATAGAGAAACATAAAAATAATTTTGAAAGAATGGAGAAATATTGTATATTTTTCGGTTGCAGATATGTATGAGCAGACAGACTTCTGAGACTATAGCAAATTACCAGTAAAATTTAATGAAATTCCAGTGAAAGAAATAAATAGGGTCTCAGAACTATTTTATCTGGTAGTCTAAATAAACAAAAAAATAGCTAAACACACCAAAAAATGACTTGGGTGTGTATATACACATATTGAAACAATTATAACAATGTGGTCATACGAAAGACTGACAGAATAGCAGAACTGAGAGACTGCCCTGAAACTTCCTGGGGTATATATGAACTTGATATGTACTAATACATAGTAATAATAATAATAACAAAAACAATTTTGTAAAGGAAATTTCACAAAGGATCAAATTAGTCAACAAATGAAGGTAGGGAAGTTTAATAAAAATTATAAATAAAATTCTATTTTAGCATATCCAAAATTGTAAATCAAATAAATTCTATATTGATTAAAATTTTAAGTAAAGCTATAGAAGACAAGTAGATATTTTCCAGCTTAATGTCTCTAAGCACTGAAATATGGGATAAAACTACAAAAGAAAAGGCAAATAGGTTTAATTATATAAACCTTAAAACCTCTCTATATCAATAACGTTTTGTAAAAAATTTAAGAAAAGTCCGATTAGAAAACATACTTAAAACAAATATGAGTACGATACCTACCTTACAAATCAATCATTAAAATATAGATACCCCACAAAAACACTAATAAGAAGCATGTGTAAAAACATGAATGGCATTTCGTAGAATAAATATGAATGGTAAATAAATGTATGAGTAAATGTTTAACCTCACCAATAATCAAAGTAAGGCAAAAGGAAACAAGCAAATTACATTTTTTAAAAATCAAGTTGGCAAAAATTAACAAGGCATATCATACTTTTATGCATATAGTAAGTTATTTGCTAATAAATAAAAAGAACCTTTACATGTTCATACGTTTTAACCAAATAACTCCATTTTAGGAATTTATGCTAAGGAAACAGTGAGAAAACCTGTAAAAAAAAGTGTTTAGAAAACTATTCGTTTCAGTGTTATTTACTATAAAAGAAAAATCTGAGTTTCTAAAAATAATGGAAACAACCTAAATGTCCCCAAATGGAAAAACAGGACAAATATATTATGGTATATAAAATATAATGCAGTCATTAAATTTTCCAATGCACCTATAATAATATGGAAAAGTCGTATAAAATAGTACAAACAGTATGAGCTCAAATCATTAAAATCTCTATATAGTTTAAAATATTCATATCCTTTATATAGGTGTATGTACACACACACACACATATATATATGTATGTATGTATGTATGTATGTAGGAATAGCGAGAAAAGATCAAAGAATTATCCAATAATGGTAACCACAGTTGTCTTCTGACAGTGGGATTACAAGTTGTTTTTATTTTCTTCTTTATGACTTTATAATTTTTTCAATTTTCTACAATAGACATATTTTTATAATCAGAAGAAGTGATAAAAATATTTTATAGGCCAATTCAATTTTTATGAACCCTTTTTCACATAATATTTTTGCATCTCATTTTAATAAGAGCCAATATTCTGAAAAATATATATTTCTAGAGAAGTGAATTATATTTTAAAATTGCATTAGTATTTTGTTTTCTAAGGAATTATTTCACTTAGTGCCAAAATAAGCTCCTTCAAGCTCTTTATTAAGAGCTACTCTAATTCACATGGCTGCTAAAATGTATTCAATAATGATGGTGTGCAATATCCATTTCCCCCTACTCATGCCTTTTCCCAGTCAGGGCTGTAAACAAGCCGGCATGCTTCTGAGATCAGGGTCTAGCAGTCAAAGACAAGAGATTACTTAGATTAACCAGAAAATTTGGAATGTTTCTCATGTGATTTTTTAAAATCAGAAATAATTAATGAATCTACTGAGTTACAAATACAATATAACACAATGGTGTCACAAACCAGAATTTAGGAATTCAGCCTGAATTCAGCAGAAGAGGGAAGGAAACCATCTCCTTCCTAGAAGTCCGGCAGGATGCACAGCTAAGTGCTCTCCATGGTGGAAAAAAATGTCTCCAGTAAGCCAGTTCTGACAGCCACAGGACAGGTCAGGGTTAAAACCTGGGATGTAATGGTCTCTGACAATGAAATGGGCATCAATGAGACAAGATACTCCCTTGGAGAATTTCCTTGAAAGAAATTAAAAAGGAGCAGATGGCATAATATGAGCAGATATTTTTTCTTGCTCCTCCTGTATGTCAAAACATTGTTTTAACAATAAATAAATAAATAAACAAACAGGAAAAGGGCAAAAATCATCATCACAAAGCACAAAGGTCTGAATGAACAGCGTGCATTTACCTATAGTTAAACTCTACATACAATAAAGAGTACAGCAATGCTGCTTCAAATCAATTGTACTTGATAATTATAGGCATAACGAAAGATCAGAAAATGGTCCAACCATCCATCCAGTCTCTCCTGACAATCACCTAGGAATCTGTGAGTTCACTCTTTCCTCAGTCCCTTATCTATTCTCCATAAATATAACCTGTCAATTCTACCTCCACATAATTTTCAGAATCTGCCTACTTCTCTTTGACTCCAGTATCATGCCTCATTCTAAAGAAATGCCCTCCTATAAAGTTCCCCTTTCTCTCCTCTCGCCTGCATTTTGCATACACACTTCAGAGAAACCTTCAAAAATATAAAGATCACGTCAGTGCACTGCTTAAAATTCTCATAGCTTCCCATGACTCTTAAAACAAAGTGAAAGAAACACACAATTCTTTCCCATGGCCTACAAGGATTTTCATTATTTGGCCCTGAATAACTTTGAACCTCATCTTTTCTTTTTGCCCTGACACTCCAAATACATAAATTTCTTTCAGATTTTCTAACAACAACCTCATCCCTCTCTTTGCACCAGAGTTCCCTGTCCTTGGAGTAATTTTTCCTCAGGTTTTCCCATGCTTGGCTCTTTCATATCATTCATGCCTTAGATTATATATATTAGCTCTTCCATGGCGGGTGGGGGTGGGGGTCCTCCTTGAACATACTCTATAATACTTCATTCCATTTTGTTTTCTTTACAGTATTTATCACTATCTCATATTTCTATTAATCATTATTTGTTCATGGTCTCAACCCACTAGAATTTATGTTCCATCAGAGTAGAGACCTTGTCCATCTTGCTCAAAGTTTTAACTCCAACAACAAAAATAGTGCCTAGCACAAGTAAGTCCTCAACAAACACTTTTTGAAAAATTTAATAGGGTGTTCTTAAAACGTGTGTGATACCAGAATGTAGGATTGACCAATAATAATTTTAGGTGTTATAAGGATTAATTTCCTGGAGAGCTAAAAATATTAGAGTTCCATAATCAATCACACTTACCTTTTAGACAATTTTAATAATGTATCAAGCATTTAAAAACATCTCTTGGTTTGTTTTATTCCCCATAATCTAAATTAGGAGCCAAGTGATTTAAGAGCAATGAGTGCCTGACTGAGACCAAAGTAATCTTGCTTTCAGCATTCTTGGTGATTATCAACTCATCTTTGTGTGAGCCGTAGTGTGTTCATGAGAACTCTGGGTTCTTATTAGCTAATTTTTATAAAATAATGTAGCAAATTCATTCAGTGGTCTGCTCATATATCCTCAAATTCCTCAACCATCATCATGAACACCAGTACCTGCTGTGCCTTCAGTCCAACACCAGCACTCAAGGCTTTCCATAGAGAGGTACCTCAAGCTGCTGGATCCCATCTTGCCCCAGACCCCTGGGAGCCTGGGAATTTATGCCCTCCCAGGGCACCATTACCCAGTGACTAAAATGCACACGGTTGTAAACAACCTGGCTGCTGCTAGTAAACCGAATAATTCTAAGGTGTGTTCTGCACTGTCTCCAAAGCTTCCTCAGGGCATTATCCTTGATATTACACTCATATGTGAACTTCTTCCTTTTCAGGACCACTTTCTCATTTTCCTAGCAGTTTTAATTGGGAACACTTCCTAATAAATTGCTTTTACTTGAATCCTCACCTCAGGTTCTACTTCCAAATAATTCAACCTAAGACAAATAATAGAAGCAAAATAAAATATGAAAAAAATTAATAATAATAAACATAATTGTAATTTTTGGTGATGCTACCAGAACAGCACAACACTGGGTAAGCAGTGAGGAATAAAATGATCAGCTTAAAAGGATGTCAAAATTGGAAGGGGCATGTCAATAAATGAAAAATCTAGAATCCACTGCTCTTTAAAGAACAGGAAACACAAATTATAGATGATGCATTACAGGTGTTTTTCATGTGAGATTATAAGGAAATTCAATCGGGGATTCATATTCAAAGAAATAAACTTGACTTTACAACTAAAATACCAGTCAATGAATGAATATTTATATGTTTTAAATTAAATAAAATGTTTAACTTTTTAAACATAAGAATGGCAGCAGACATTTGAACAGCAACATTAGAAGCTAAAGCACAGAAAAGAAATTCCTTCAAAACCCTAGGGAGAAATCACTTCCATACGAGAAGTCTATATCCAGGCAACTAATTGTAAGTGGAACAGACATTCAGATGTGAAAAGTGTCCAAATATATCTCCTATGCCCCCTTTTTCTGGAAGCTCCTGGATATGTACACTATTAAAACAAGAGAATAAAGCAAGAATAAGAAATATATGGGATATACAAACAGCATTCAACTGGGGGGAGGAGGCAAAGAGGGTCTCTAGGAGGTGACGGTGATGAAGGCTAGCTCTGAAGCAGACCTGGGGAGCAGTCAGGTCAGACTATGGCTAATTGAAATGCTCCAGCAAGGCATCTCCAAGAAGCAGCAACTAAGAGGACACTGAAGTTGGAACATATTTCAGCGAAATTTATACTCCTAAGGGAGAATTTTGGGGATGAAGTGGTGAACAAATAAATCAATAATAAAAAAGATCATTATTAACAAAAGGGAACCAAAGCCAAAGAGAAACAAAAAATATGTATGGTACAGCTGTGAAGAGTACTTTATAGTCACAACATGACCACACAATACTGATCTAACAAAAAGTATGACATAATTGTATTGGTAAGATAGGGACATCGAAACTGGACATATATGATGGCAGAAAGAAGCCAAATCCCCAGTTCTTGTTGTGGGAAATGAATAGGTAATGTGTAAAATTGAAAAAATCAAGAATCAGCAATGTAAGCATGCCACTGAAGTATATGGAGCAAATATCAAGAAAAATAGCTGAAGAGTTGAAGAGGTGCTTCTGACGATTGGAAAATGGGAGTAGAGAGGAGATTATATTAAAAAAAGACATATATATACACTCTATATATATAACTTTAGTAAAGCAAAACATTAAAAACAGAGAAAGAAGAGCTTGAGCAATTTTTCTCCTATCTAATATTTCAGCACTTAAGCACTCAACATGTATTTGCCACTGAAAACAGTAGAATATTTTTCACTATAGCTGCCTATTTCAAACAAGGAATCGTACCGGGCACTAATGAATAGGTGAAGGAGTTGAATAAAGTGACATGAAAGAAAAACTCTAAATTCCCAAATAACAATATAATACCTAACATTTATTCAGTGTTTAATATATATCTCCACTACATATATAACAGCATTATTAATTTTCACAGTATTCCTTTGAGGCGGGCATTAGGATGGTCCACATATTACACAGCAGAAAACTAAAGCTTAGAGAACATCAATCGTTGCTCAGTCTCATACACAGAAAGTGACAGCACTAAGATTTTTGTTCTCTCTGGTGGGAATGCTTGTTCACCAGAAATCTAAATGGCTTGCAATCCTACTTCTTCAGGTCTTTGAACAAATCCTCCCATCTTAGAAGAATTTCTCTGACCACTCTATTTAAAACAGAAATCAATCAGAGTTGAAATGAATCACTTCCTCCTTCCCCAACTCCCCCCAACACACACCAGCTTTCCCTTCTCCCAGGCTGCTTTTCTCCATAGTACTTCACCATTTGAAATACCATATTTATTTATATTGTCTATTGTCTGCCTTATCACCTAAATGTAAACTCAATAAGAGCAAGAATTTTTGTCTCTTACCTGTTATACCCCCAGTGCTCAAATGACCATCTGGCACACAGAGTAAAAAAATAATTGTCAAGTTTACTGACAATTACAGATTTAGAATCTGAGCTCTTCACCACCATGTTACATTCCCAACTCTAGTTATTCGTTATATAATGCTGCAGAGATTATCATGTTTTGATAAAATATTTTCAACTTACAAAAAGACAGCATGGAGGAAAGACTTTTGTGGAAAATCAGGCACAAGTCCATTTAGACAGCCTATTTTTTCCTATGTAAAGAATGGCTTTTAAGACTGCCTTAAAATTTGTAAACTTATCTTTGCTTTCTCCAGGGCTATCCTTTAAAGTATTTACTTTTACTGATAACCAACCATAAGTAAATGCCTTGTTGTCCTAAGTGGGTATCATGGACAGAGAACAATATCTTTGTTGGGAGAGTTTCATTTAAGTAAACTAAATAGAAACACATATGTTCTCCCAAAGCCCTACCAGCAGAAAGCACTGCTATTTACAGTTATTCAAGAAATTGATATGAATCCAATTGAATGACTTCAAACGTGTCCCTGTAGATGCTGAACTATGCAATTTGTTCAGTTGCCATTTAATGACAGGCGAATCATGGTGTTCTTATTTTTTCTGTGAACAAACTCTAACTCAGGATGGATGCAAGTATAATGAGTTAATAATTTAGCTTTCAAATCAATTCACAGTTGCATGGGCTGAGAGCTCTTGAAGGGAGTATGAGAGCTGCAGAAGGAAACCCACTCATTCTGTTGCTGGTTGGTATAAAAGATGAAAATCTATAATCTCTTCTGGTTTTATAGCTGTAAAAGAGCTAATGACCAATGCAATAAGCTTAGAGATTACTTTTTCATCTCAAACATACTGAACACTTTCTGATAAGAGGTCAATTAGGTCTAGGAAAGAATAAGTGTGGGCCTATTTTATGGAGTAACTGAGTTTAATGACAAATAAAGCTACTCAAAGTAAATTTCATTTTCCAAAGTGTTTATTTTCCCTTTTGTTAAAAGCCTATGTCTTTCTCAATTTGTCTTTAAAGCACTTTATATTTAGAACTAAATAACTCTTCAGGATCTTCCAGTTCTTCGGATGTTTTAGGATTTAAAGATGACCAATCAATCACAGACTTTATTTGGGACATGAAAATTCTTCCTGATGAATGTACAGACTTCATTAATATGTAGGTCATTTTCTTCCTTTTCTGCTTATCCTCTTTCTTTTTAAAAAAGTATTCACCATCTCTAAAATATAAACAAGAACTGATCAGATGATTTCTATAATTATCATATCAATATTAATGTTTCCTAATATTATGCAGAGTTCTGAGTACAAGGTACAGTTGGTCATGTGGTAAAGTAATTATTTCTACACAAAATGTGTAAGATGTTAAATGAGGAAGCCAATGGGGCAATTTAGTTTGTAATCAACTTTTCTCTCTTTGCCTATATTCAGGTAATACAAAGTAAAGGCAGAGATTTGTAAATAATTTTGAAATTTGATTAATTTCTAAACCATACTATTTGTATATTCATATTCATCAAATCAGTGATATTACTAGCACACTCTCTATTCATGTATTACTGAGAAACTCAGCTGGAGACTATATCTTATTGGTAGTCAGGAAGAATGGATTAACTGTCAATTTCAGCATTCAGAAAAATACCACAAGCAGTTTGAAAATTTTTAAAAATCAATTAATACGTACAAAAACTCTTCTTATGGCAAACTATTATGGAAAAATGGTCCTGTGAAGCTTAATTTATGCATACATATGTCCCAGCCTTTCATTAATTTATTTGGTCATTTTACTTCAAATTCTTTTGAGAATCTACTTAGTCTCAGTCTTACTCTCACCTGAGCAATGGTGATGGGTTAGACATGCATATGACATAGCCATGCCTCCAGGGAGCTTAGAGCCTCATGCAGGAGACTGAAGGAAGTCCACAATTAGAACCCAGTACAGGCTGGGCACAGTGGCTCACGCCTGTAATCCCAGCACTTTGGGAGGCCAAGGTGGGCAGATCACAAGGTCAGGAGATCAAGACCATCCTGGCTAACACAGTGAAACCCTGTCTCTACTAAAAATACAAAAAATTAGCCGGGTGTGGTGGTGTGCGCCTGTAGTCCCAGCTACTCGGGAGGCTGAGGCAGGAGAATGGCATGAACCTGGGAGGCAGAGCTTGCAGTGAGCAGAGATCACGCCACTGCACTCCAGCCTGGGCGACAGAGCAAGACTCTGTCTGAAACAAAAAAAAAAAAAAAAAAAATGAACCCAGTACAACAGTGAATAATTGACTGATGCTCAAATATCATAAAAGCTTTCATTTCAATAGCAATCTGAGTAAAGGGGAAGGAGCTGGGATGAGGTGTGCTTTGAGAAAGATTCAGAGAAGAGGAAATGTTTGAGGTAAATCTTGAATGATGAAACAAAGGTGTCAAAGTACATTCTTGCATGAGGGAAATGGTTTATGCAAAGACACACATTTTGAAATAGTATAAAACAGCATGGAAACCACATATAATTGGCAATAGCCAACATTTTTGAGTCCCTATTTATTTGCCAAGAATATTAACAAGCATTCATTTAATACAACAATATTGTGAAGTAAATACTTTTATTCTCATGGTATTTTTAGTAGGAAACAAAGAGGAGAACTATATAACTTGTGCAATTCATACAGAATTTAGACTTGAGCTCCAGTAATCTGATTTCATAACTTTTAACGAATCAACCAATATAACAGACTTTCTTAAGGCTAATAAAAGTAAAGTGACAAAAGAATATAAACATAGCCAAAAATGATATAATACTCTGCTGAGGAACATGTACTTGTTCTTAATGGCATAAGTGGCTACTGACAAATTTTTAAGACAGGGCATTACATATGTTACAGAAATTATTCTATTCCAGTGGAAAGTAGATATGACTAATGGCACCAGTGGAGATAAAAGATGAGAGATACCTAATGTCAAGAGATCTTCAGGAGGTAAACTGAAGACTTAGTAGCTGATTAGATACGGATGGTTAGAAAGAATATTGAAACATCTCCCAGGCTTTGCTTGGGAACAGACAGATAATAGTGGAGGTCAGAAGGAAGGTCTGTTTAGGAATGAGAAGTCATTTATGTAAGCAGCATTAATTAAATAAGGCACAGTTACAAATAAAGTCACTATGGGAGAACACGAGAATTTTAGAATGAGGGAAGGGAGACTGTATAAACAGAACCCTAAAAATACCAAGTTTATGGGGTTTCTGAGGAAAGAGGAAAAGAGCAATCCAGAGAGGGAGAGCAAATAAGAGAAAGTAAGGCTATCATAACTAAGGGATTAGACAGGTTTTAACAGGAGGATTACATGGTCAAATGCTGCTGACAATAAGAGAAGCAAATGTAAAACTGTGGGCCGGGCGCGGTGGCTCACGCCTGTAATCCCAGCACTTTGGAAGGCCGAGATGGGTGGATCACCAGGTCAGGAGTTCGAGACCATCCTGGCTAACGCGGTGAAACTCCATCTCTACTAAAAATACAAAAAATTGGCCGGGCTTGGTGGCGGGCGTCTGTAGTCCCAGCTACTCGGGAGGCTGAGGCAGTAGAATGGCTTGAATCCAGGAGGCGGAGCTTGCAGTGAGCCGAGATCGCACCACCGCACTCCAGCCTGGACGACAGAGCGAGACTCCGTCTCAAAAAAGAAAAAAAAAAGTGTATTATGTTTGCTAATGAAAATCCTAGCTTGTTTCCTTAGAACCTTCGAAATGCCTAGGAAGGAGATTATAATAGGTTGAAGAAGGTGTGGGACTTGAAGAAGTAAAAACAATGAATGTAATTACTCTTTTAAGAAATGTGGCTGTCAAGGATAGGAGACAGGCAGTGTAATAGTCAGATGAGGATGGAGTTGTCAAAAGGAGAGGGAAAAAGAGTAAATACAAGAAGAGATGTTAAAGGTACAGGGGAGAGAAAACTAAATAACCAACGGCACTGAGTGAAATGCATGAGAGACGTTTACCTCTGGTTGCAACTGCCATGGGGAAAAGTCAGCTTTACTTAAGTAATAAATCACATTATGGTTTATACTAGGGAGATAGACTCCAAAACTACCTATGGTATCCTTCATGGGTACCCTTGGAAGTGACGCATTTTCTATCATTTCACAAAGAGAGCTAGGTTATTTGCCTAATTAAAACATATGAGAAAATACATTTTGTTACATTGTACAATTCAAATTTTTGAAAATCTTGCCTTATATATTTATGTGTTTCCAATTATTTGCACACTCTGTCTTTTTCTCTCATTACAAATTATTCATGCATTTTTTTGTTTTCACAATATTCAACAAAGCCATTCTTCTCTTTGATTGTTCCAACCACCATTGATTTTGGTGTAATGGCAATGGCTTGACATAGACTCATGGAACCACATGGTCCCTGAGGGGTTACTTAACTAGTACATATTAAACCATCTGGAATTCTGAAGTTTATTTCCAAGAATATTGATATGTTATTTTTAAAAGCAGGCTGTGAAATAACTGCATTAAAGATTTGGAAATATTTTAGTTTACACATAGAATAAAACATATAACAAAAATAAGTGAAATATAACGATATTTAATTTCTTGTTTTGAATCAATCATAAAAAATAAAGGAGGATTATGAGAAATAATTGAAAAAAGAGGTAAAGATTTCCATATAGTTCAATAGAGAATGTAAAAATACTGCTTACTGGAATAGATGCCATTTTAGAGTTGTCTTTACATCAAGACTCTTCTAGAATGAATTAAAAATAAAGATATTTTGCACCAATATAGTATCAGATATAGCTTTTTGTTAATATTGAACAACTGTCCAAAAACTATTAATAATATTTATCTCTTTGAAAAAAATTCAAGCACCAGGATAAAATTACCAAAATATCCAAGAGACTTGTTTCATAAATAATACAATAGGCTTTTTATATATTAATTTGTCAGTAGCAATGTATTGCTCACATTGAAAGAAGCTGTGTTAGACCTATTGACAATTTTAAGAGATTCTAAAGAATACTTTCTTCTTTTTTTACTAAAAGGGTCCTAGACTAAAAGAATGGTCTTTTCTAAGGACAGTGGTTTTAACTTAATTAGAAGGATTAGAGAAAAAATGTGAACATATTCTTGGAGCACAGATGACTATAAAAATGCAATAAAACCTCAACAAAAGCACAGATAATTAACCAAGATATTTCTGTGTAAAATTTTAATGATTAAAGCTTGATATAATGTTTTTGCTAATTGTTCTAAATAACCAATTAATTTCTAGGAGGTTAACTGAGATTCAGTTAGCACACTTTTTAGCTTTAGAGGCAAATATAGAACACTTGAATAGTGATTACACTCAATTTATTGAATTTTTATTCTTAATATATTTTAAAATTTTAACTTAGCCAAGCTCACTTCTACCTCAGGGCTTTGCATTTATTGTTCCCTCTGCCCAAAATGTTCTTCCCTCCAGTTATCTACATGGTTCCCTCGCTCATTTAATTCAGATTTGCTCAAATGTCACCTTACCACAAATACTTTCCTTGACCGCTCTAAATGAAAATGTACCTTCCCACATCCACATCTCTAACTATCCTCTTGCCATGTTATATATTTGTTTATGGTCTGTCTGCTACACAAGGATGTTAGCTTCATAAGAATAGGGACTCAGTTTTGTTCACTTCTGTATCTTCAGCTCAGACAACAGTACTTGGTAGGAGGAATAAAGTCAATAAACATCTACTCAATGAATAAATCTTACATTTACAGTCCAAAGATGGAAAGATGATTTATTTGACATTGAAACAGAGGAGTCGAGATCATTGAATTTTACTCTGTAAGTTATCCACGTCATCCTGCCTATTTATTTACAATATAAGCTCACAACACTAGAATCAATTTCAGTCTAACTACTTCTTACAATGTTTAAAACAGGCTATAGAAATCTGGGAGACACTAGCTGGCAGATCCCAAAATGTTTTTTTATAGCTTTCTCATGCTTTCAACAACAGGAAATAAAGAAAAACAAAACAAGCAAGCAAGCAATCAACAAAAAAGAAAACACAACCTGAGGCTAGAGGAAGTAGTAGTATCTGTCTTTAAAAGATTATCATGTTCTTTGATTATTTTGATCTTTATAGCTGAAAGAAGGAAAGATGCATACCAAGTGTTAAATCTGAACTCCTTTTTTCTTCATTAAGTATACCTTCCATGACAGCCATATAACTGGATTTATAACATAGCATTATTGTTATGGCAGAAAAAAAAATGAGCTTTGGTAAACTAGCCTTGCTGAGATGGAAAGGGTCAAAGTGGACAGGAGAGGAAGAGGAGACCCAAATTTATAAGATGAGAGAAGAATTTTTACCCTCAGCAAACTGCATTGTTGTCCTAAGAGCAGCATATGGGCCTAGGTGCTGGTGTTGTAAGTCCAGGAGGAACTTTAGTATGGAAGGCACCAAGGTGTACCAACTCTACTCCCAATGGTGCCCACAGGCCAAGAGGGCCTGAATAGTAATCATCTTTCCTGCCAATTATCACTAAAGCCACAAACAGTTTTCTCAGAAGTGAGATCATCTGATCACAACTTAAGTAATGATCCGATGGAAACTCCAAGAAGGGCTGAGAAGACTATTTCATCCCTCTACACGTTAATTATCTAATTTGCTGGCATAAAGAAAAGTTCATAGATATTGTGTATAAAAGATAAGGTGGTAAAACATAAAACTTCATTTGGAAGTAACAATGAAGAGTGAGGGGAATAGGTAAGTAAAACTGAAGTCCAGATTAAGTTATTAATTGTTACAGTTATCTATAAACCTAATTAGAACAAATGTGGATTACTTCTGACAGACTCTACATTTACCAAATTATTACAATCCAGTTATAAAACTAAAATCTATATCATTTAATTTTAATATCTACTTCTATCCTAAAAGCTCTTTCAACATAAATGTTTCCCCCTCTGCCTCCACAGGGCTCTGTCCTTATCTGTGGCTCTGATGCTTCCTCCAGAGGCCAGTTGGCAAGAGAGAATAGCTGTTTTTAAAGCTTATGCTCTGAATATTGTGATCTTTACACCTAGAGAATCCTACAGGTCTAATAACAGGAAAATAAAGCTCTTTGAGATGCAGCTATTCAATAAGACAATTACTCATTGGCTACCTGCTATGTATACTGCACTGGATGCTCCCAGGGACTCAGTGGTAAATAAGACTAAATCTTTACCCAACAAAGACTTTACCGTACAGTAGGAGGAAAATGACAGATACATGACTGACAGTCATATACGTAGAAAAAGATAAGATATATGCCATAAGAGAAGGAAAGTCAAGGGCTCTGAGAGTCCAGTGTAAAACAATGCTGTGTGCGTTTGTGGGTGCCAACATGGAGACAGGTTATGAGAAATGGATAGTAACAATGGATATTGTGGGCAGAAAGAACAGTATGAGCAAAAGTAAGGCATAAGGAAAAATGCATAGGAATAAAAAGTTCAGTTTATTAGATCACAGGGTATAAACTATGGAGCAGTAGGGAATGAACTGAGAGACCATACTGTAGTTGGCCGGGGATGCTAAGATGCTACATTTGAGTTCAATCAGCAAAAGGGGTATAAGAAAGAATATGAACCAGGTAAGGGTGTTACTGCGTTTAACCTTTTTGGATGATGAAGTGAGGAGACAGAGTGGCTCATCAGGATGCAGCTACTATAGTCCATGTAAGCTGTGATAAAGATCTGGAATGAAAATGATAACATGGGCAAGAGCAATAAAACTAAGATAGAGTCAAAAACTAAAAAACTGAGTTTGCAAAGGATTGGCTGCAGGGTCACTGGAGAAGGACATTTTAATGACACCTCTGAGATAGTGAACTTCAGTGACATGAGGGAGCATGAGGCAACCCCATAAATGCTTCATATATTTTCTGGCATTCATTCCCCACTATAACAAATTAATAAACAATTCTCCCATTTTATACATGAAGAAACAGAGGATTTGAGAAAATGGTCAATTTGAACTGTAGTAAGTGACAAAGCTGGAATCTAGATTGAAAACTTCTTGATTATATTATAGCCTTTAGAAGAATGTCAGTGGTAGTAATAATAATGATAACGAAAATATATTTTTCATCCTGTTTGTTCCCAGATATACAAATTAATTGACATCAAATTATCATATGCATGTATGTTTAATCTATTAACCTTATTTAATTTTCCTCATCTCCAGCTAACTGGCAATATTACAGTACAAATAACATTTTGATACAACAGGTATCAAAATAAATTAAAGGAAAATTAAACCAGAGGGGAAATTTAACCAAGAATGTAAAATATAACTATGCTTAAAGTCCAGTTTAGAGGACAATCTAGGAAAAAATAAAAAATAAAACTTGCAGGTTACATTTCACACTCTGGTGTTTTCTACACGGATGAAGATAATAAAATGAATTATCTAACTACATGATTAATTGGCATATTTTCTAGATTTTCTCCCGAAAATGACAGAATTAGAGAGACGAACACTTATTTTAATGTTACCTAGGGATGGACTCTCAATAAAATTTAGTATGACTTTCAGGTTACTGTTTCTATAAAGAAACGACAAAAATCTGCCCTTATTTTATCACTTCCAAATGTCTTCCAATGGTGTATCACCAGGACTGTAAACTAGTCAAACATCATCACATTATAGCACATCATAAATTTTTACCTGAACACATGAATACATTTTACATTATTGACCTTTATAGACTGAATTAATTTTGGACACACAGACAATATAATATTAGACTGTGAGCAGATATTTAGAAAGCTTTGCTTCTGACCTCTAAAATATGCTACTAAAATGAAATAGACTTCCTCTTATTTGTTTCTGGCTTCAATTTACATTTACTTAGCCTCTTTTGGTCAGGATTTATTAGAAGTATTTATTACAAGTAGACAGAAATCTTAAAGGCTCTGTGGTAATTGTGAACTAAGCACTCATTGGAAGCCATTATCTGCCCCTAATACATCATTTAATAGCACAGGAGGTGACATGGTATAGGAAGAACACAGATTTGGGAGCCCATCGATGTGGACCCACCTAGTGTCTCTAATCCTCTGCTGTTCCTACAGGATACCTGTGAAGAACACCTGAGTGGCAATGCTGGGGCATGGAGGAGAGATGTTGGGAAGATACCTGGGCACACAACTGGCATACTGCGGGCATTCTGAAAATGGAGTTGATATTTCTGGTAGGCTTTCTCAAAGGGGCAAACACTGAGTGGGAGTGAATTAGAGGCAAGGAGACATGACATGAGAAGTGCAAAACAGAGAGGGAGAAAAGTATGTGAGAGGTGGTCAGAAGAGAGGGAAATAATTTTTCATATATAAAAAGCTTCAATAAATTCAGTAGAGATTAATATATACACTATTGCCACGCATGGTGGCTCACACTTGTAATCCTAGCCCTTTGGAGGCCAAGGGGGACAGAATACTTGGGCCCAGGAGTTTCAGGACAGCCTGGGCAACATGGTGAAATCACATCTCTACAAGTAATACAAAAATTAGCTGGGTATGGTGGCATGTGCCTTTAGTCCCAGCTACTCAGGAGGCTGAGGTGTGAGGATCACTTGAGCCCAGGAGGTTGAGACTGCAGTGAGCCATGACAGAGCCATTGCACTCCAGCCTGGCTGACAGAGTGACATCCTGTCTCAGATAATAATAATACATACACTATTACTTTAAACGCTAGGAACACATTGGTGCAGTTGGTTTTCAATCAAATCCACATCCCCAGCCTTATAATTACTGTTTCTGGAGATAATATACTTTTTAAATAATTCCCAGCATTTTTTTTAACAAAAAATTGGCAGGAGGGAGATGGGTGCATCTTTTCTTCCATCTGTATTTCTCTCCTGCCTCAGCCTGTGGGTGAGTAAATGCTCTGCTGATGTTTGGTGAAATTCTTGGGGCCAGACACCATCTCCTCAACATCTTGTACTTTTAGAGAGTAGATGTGTTTTCAGTGCTTCAAGTAGAAGTGCTTCCACTGTGGCATTGACTTTCCTTATCACATCTGATTTATCCTTAGTGCTAACTAACTAAAAGGGGACATTTTTGACAAGCAAATTTGCTTCTCAAAAGCGAACAGGGCCAGGCGGGGTGGCTTACGACTGTAATCCCAGCACTTTTGGAGGCTGAGGCGGGTGGATCACTTGAGGTCAGGAGTTTGAGGCCAGCCTGGCCAACATGGCAAAACTCCGTTTCTACTAAAAATACAAAAATTAGCCAGGCATTGTGGCATGTGCCTGTAATCCCAGCTACTCAGGAGACTGAAGTAGGGGAATCACTTGAACCCGGGAGGTGGAGGTTGCAATGAGCCAAGATCGTGCCACTGCACTACAGCCTGGGTGACAAGAGCGAGACTCCATCTCAAAAACAAACAAAAAAAAGTAAATAGGCAGATACCTAGATGATCCCTGTTCTAACATGATGAATGTGAGAGTGTTACAGATGAAACAGGGGGTAGATAACAGGACCAATGGATGGACCACATGCTAAAATGGTCCTTCTCAAAATGCTCTTGAGGATGCTACTGCACAAGATTTAGAGAAATCTGTCAAGTCCTGAATTGGCTGCCTCTTTAAAATAACATCTTGCAACTTACAAGTCCAGGGAAAATGTATTCTCGGTGTGTCTATAACAGAAGAAAACAGAAACACTGTGGAGGGAACAGAAATACTCCAATGGTCTCATTGCAATATGACTGTTATCACTGCCATGACCAGCCTCATTGATTCACCCAACTCATCACATAATCTTTTGATTATAATTTTGCTTCCCACATATCACTGATATGATTTGCTTTCCATACAGTCTATCTATATGGAAAAATGTACTGATCACATGGAATCTGTTCACAGCATCAGTGAATTCTAATAGCAATTCAAAAGAATAGCTTCTATTTGTGATTGAATTTCTTATGTCATTCCAAAAAAAGGAGCTAATTGTGTAGTCATTAATTAATTATTAGTTGTATACTAAATTGTGCAGTCATATGCTGTGTGGTAATTCTTCCTTTAAAACAATATAAATTCTAGTAATTTATGTACATATATATGTTTAAGTTATACATATGCACATATATAATGAAACACACATATGTCAATATATGTGCTTATAAAGAAGATATGTCCAAAATCTTATCCTTTGTATAAGAATGACTAAAAAAAATGAGTTCACCTGTCTTAGCATTTGGTGTCCTCAGATCCATTCCCATCACCATAGCTGCTTACCCAGGACTGGTCTCAATTAAATCTTCTGGCATCACACTCACTGTTTTCAAGAACTTCCCAGTACTGACCTCAGCTGCTTCCACAAAACTGACGCTTCAATAATGTGCTGAACTTATTTCCCACTCAATATGACTCTGATTTTGATGGTGGCCCAATATGGCTGTGATTCTGATCCACA